>NC_000022.11:35224715-35376230 GCF_000001405.40 Homo sapiens
CCACCCTTAGACAGACAGTATTTCTAGCCCCATTTCATAGATGAGGAAACTTAGGTGAAGCATCTTCCCCAACCGAGTAAGTGGCAGGGCCCAGATTCCAACGCTGCTGGTCTGACTGCAGAGCCTGCAACCTTGCCTGCTTTTGCAGCATGCTAACATTCACTACCTGAACTGTCTGCTGCTCTGTCCCCACCATCAGACTTTGAGTCCACAGGACAGGGACCTTGTCTGATTCACCCCTGTATCTCTGCACCTTCAATGCCCCACACAATGTTTGGCACATCTGGGGCCTCACAAAGGCTTGAAGAATGAATGAATTAATAAAGGAATGAATGAATGCCTCTCCTCACACTTGTAGCCACCTGTCACAGTGATCAGGAAATATCCAGTTCCTTTGACTGTGGCTACTCACAAAGAATCTCAGTGTGGGATAATGGAAGTTACAGCATGTGCCGTCTGTCCACACAGACTCCAGTCTCCATGCGTGCATGTCTGAGTGAACAGATAACTCACGCTGAGATTTACTTAGAAGGCATTTAATTCAGCTCACACTTCTGCCGACCAAGCCTATTACTTGCAGAAATCTATTCCATGCATTACCATTTTGATTTCCAGTGCTGAGACAGTGGTGGTTTGGTAGCATCCTTTTTTTATTTTTTCTCCTCTCACCAGTTGAGTTACTGTCTGTGTTTGTGGAATAAATTGCTATACATTGAGTTACCAACACTCTAGAATGGGGAAATATATTCTCAATGCTCTATGGGCAGCTGACAACATTATGGAAATACACAAAGTGTGTGTCAAAGTTTATGTGAATGGTGATGAGTTGTGATGGATGTTGGAAGAATGGGGGGTAGGATGGGGGGTGAATAGCGGTGCCCTCAGAAAAAGTGACACTCTCCATGTACCCTTTTCTTCCCACTGCAGCTGGCCTCAGCTTCTCAGACAGGAGTTTTAAAGGTGGAAAGTTAGGGTCAGACAAACAGGAGGAGCTGGTCACTGGAAAAACAAGTTTGGACAATAAGATAAACAGCCCCCAGAGTCCAGTAAGCATGATGCTGGGGACACTGTAGGTGCTCTACTTGTACTTTTTTATTATTCTTTTTTTTTTCTTTTTGAGGTGGGGGTCTATGGAGTCTTGCTGTATCACCCAGGCTGGAGTGCACTGGTGCAAACTTGGCTTACTGCAGCCTCCACCTCTCAGGTTCAAGCAATTCTCCTGCCTCAGCCTCCCGAGTAGCTGGGATTACAGGCGTGTGCCACCATGCCCAGCTAATTTTTGTATTTTTAGTAGAGACGGGGTTTCACCATGGCGGCCAGGCTGGTCTCAAACTCCTGACCTCAAGTGATCCACCTACCTCATCCTCCAAAAGTGCTGGGATTACAGGCATGAGCCACCGTGCCTGGCCTTTTTATGATTCTTACTGGGTCCTGTGTGCCTTTGCTTCTAAAGGCTGCACCCGCTGAGTGTCTCTGGAAGCCGGCCCTTGGGCACCTTCACAGGCCCCTGGGTGCAGTCCTGAGCCAACAACCGTGTAGTGTGGGAACATGAAAGGCCAGCAACCTTGCTGAGTCGGAACGAACTCTAAGGTCTAATATATACTGCAGAGCTGCCCACAGAATCAGACTGAAGCTGGGGCTTCACCTGAAGTCACTGCCTTGCTTGGCTTCTCTCCCTTCCCTTTCCTTCTGGCCCAATTTGCTCACAGCTTTCTCCTGGGAGCACCTCCTGAATATACCATTTGTACATGAAATGTTCATCTCAGGGGCAGCCCCTGAGTGTGTAGTCAGGGGATCTCAACCAACTGAGAAGGTCTCTGCGTCTGTGTGAGTGGGTTCTGGAAAATCCAGCAGTTGGTGGGGCAGCAGTGCCCAGGGGCACAGGATGGGAGTTAAGGGCAGCAAGGGAATCTCCAGAAAACCCAAGTGCCTGGCGGACAGTCAGCTCCCATCTCATACCAAGCCAAAGATCATGAAGCCATAGGATGCTGTTAACAGGCACATAAGAACTGTGCTGACCCACTTTCCTTCTTTCCACACTTCTCTACCCAATACTCCACAGCAAAAGGAATCAGAAACAGCAGATCTTAGTGAAAAAGAGAAAAGGGCTATCCCCCTTCCCAAAGCCAGTGTCCTGTCTGCAGCTAGTCCCAGCTGGATGGGGGAAGGAGGAGTGTTACCTTGGGAAGAGACTCAGGTTCTGTTTTGCAACTCCCACTGACCATAGGGCTTTGTCTTGCCTCCAGTGACAGACAGAGTCATGGAGATGAGCAGAGTTTTCATCCAAGGACAGGGAAAGGACAGCCATCCTCCAGCCAGCATTAGAGGGACAGAGTGAAATAATAACAAAGTGGCTTTCATGAGTATCCCTTTAAGCACTAAATGTTCCGCATGCAATTTACACATCTAATAAGTACTTCCCATTGGTATTATGGTTACCATTTGTCTTATCATTGATTTGCTAGGTATAATGGTTTCTTATTGCCCCTAGAGGGACATGCTGTCAACAAGAATGTACCGGTGAGAATGGAGGCAGAAAGATCAGTTAGGAGGCAGCTATGGTAAGACATGATGTAGCAAATCCCGGGAACTGGCTACTCTAAGCCATCTGCACACCCCCTGCCCCTGCACACTCACTCGAGCCCCTCCCCAGTAAAAAAGACAAAGGCTCTCAATTAGGAGTTATGGCCTGGAATGAGGAAGTGACGCCTGGAGAAGCAGCAACTACCCTGTGACCACAAGAACCAGTGCCAACACTGAGGATACTGGAGTAGAAACAGGAGGAGGCACCAGGGTCCCTGATGACATTTTTGGGCATTTGTTCCAGTTCTGGACTGCCTGCCCCAGACTTCCTTTTGCATGTAATAATACACCCTTCACCTTTGTAAGCAATGGAGCTGTTTTCTGTTACTCAATGTCAGGCCTCTGGGCCCAAGACTGCACATACATATCCAGATGGCCTGAAGTAACTGAAGAATGACAAAAGAAGTGAAAATGGCCTATACCTGCCTTAACTGATGACATTACCTTGTGAAATTCCTTCTCCTGGCTCATCCTGGCTCAAAAGCTCCCCCACTGAGCACCTTGTGACCCCCACCCCTGCCAGACAGAGAACAACCCCCTTTGACTGTAATTTTCCACTACCTACTCCACTCCTATAAAACGGCCCCACCCCTATCTCCCTTTGCTGACTCTCTTTTCGGACTCAGCCCACCTGCACCCAGGTGATTAAAAAGCTTTATTGCTCACACAAAGCCTGTTTGGTGGTCTCTTCACAGGGACACACATGAAACTCAATCCTGACCAATATGAGGCATGAGAGCCTGGCCTAGAGAAGTTGTGGAGGACAGCGGAGAGGAAGTACTTAATACTTAGGAGGTGGTAGAATTGACAACACTTTATGCCTAACCAGACATGAGGGGAGGAGGAAGTCAGGGAGGAAAGAATGTCTTCCCCAACATAAGGAATACAGCAGGAGAAACAGGTTTCAGTGGTAAAATCAGAGGTGCATCATCATCATGTCAATAAGCTGCTTCAGACCGTATTGTTTTCCCCCGAATTCTTATATTGAAGCCTTAACTCCCAGTGAGACTGTATTTGGGGCTAGGGCCTTTGGGAGATAATTAGGCTTAATGAGGTCATGAGGGTGGGGTCCTCGTGATGGGATTAGTGCCCTTATAAGAAGAGAAACAGACATCAGCGCTCTCCCTCTGTCTTGTGAGGACACAGTGAGAAGGCAGCTTTCTGCAAGCCTGGAAAAGGGTCCTCACCAGACCCTACCACACTGCACCCTGATCTCAGACTTCCAGCCTCCAGAACTGTGAGAAATCAATGTCTGTTATTTAAGCCACACTGTCTATGATATTTCATTAGGGCAGCCTGAGCAGACTAATATGTAAATGCTGTGCATTGTGCTAAGAAAACAGGTTTTCCCTGTTGTCCCAAAATTCTGCATAAACCCCCAAACTAGGGACAATGGGCATGAAATCCTCTCACATTCTAAAAAGCACAGTGACATAGCCATGCAAGATGAGCCAAGAAAGGACAGAAGTACCTCTGCCCCACAGCCATCACCCCTTCCCAAGCCCCTCCAACCTTTATCAGCAAAAGACCTGGAGGAATTCCAGAGGACTCACTAGACAAGGGAGTATTTGAAATATGGGGAGAGCGCTGTGTCTTTTCGTTTCCTGCTGTACGGCCCTGGCTCCCACCCAAGCCAACTTCAAGAAAGTCATTTGCAAAGATTAGGGCTATGGCATCGTTTGGGTTCCCCAGAAGGAGACCTTGAGGCAAGAATCCAAGGACACGTGACTAACTTGAGAGATTATCCAAGGAAACTCCAGGAGGGGAATAAGAAAGAGCTGGAGAAAGAACGGCAGTGAAAAGGGTGTGGTTATTGAGAAGTGACCACTGTGGATGAGAGGGAATTCATCCTGCTGTGAAACACTGGGAGCTAGTGAGGAAGACGACTTTCAGAGTCATCCCACCAGGGGGCAAGGGACCTGGGCATTTATTAATACACGCCAACACTCACCAGTCATCATGGAGGGCTGCTGCTGTGGTGTTAATTTCCTGGTACTTAGGCCCACTACTCTGGCCCGGGGCCTGGCCACTGTAGAACGCCCTCAGGCAAAGAGATACAGGGGCTGCCCTGGAGGTTAGCCAGTGAGCACTTTAGCAGAGACAAGGAATGTAGGTAGGAGACATTGCCCACATCCCAGCATCTGCTAGGGGCTGCCTGAAAGAAAAGGACCCTAGATCTGTGTTTCTGCAGCAGACTCTCTGATCTGCCCCTTAAGTCTAACAGAACAGGGGAGAAAAGACCTGGAGCGAGGCACAGGGTAGGGGGTGGAGGTGCAGCAGCAGGCACTCCCACTATAGCATGGCAAAGATGCGTGAGTCTCCCACAGGCGGAGAGAACACCACTGAAGGACCAAGACTTGAGCAATTTCCACGTCCAAAGATCCTAATCATTACCCAAGGAGACTTGAGTGGCAAGAAGCTGTGGGCTCCCCCTGGCAACGATGGGGGCTAATGGGGTGGTCAGGGCTCCCACAAGAGCTCTTCACGAGGACCTCTGAAGAACCCACACAGGCACCCTGAGAAACAGCTAGCATCCTGCCCATTGCTCCCAACCTTTCCCATCCCTCTCCCGGCGCAGGTCTCTGGGGCTGGGTCAAGCCTGAGCGGGAGGGTGGGAAAGAGGAGCATTAAATGAAAAACCAGATTGAAGTACTTAGCTGCAAATGACCAAAAATCTCAAGGATCTGCCTACGATATTGTAAGAAAGATAAGAGTAGAGCAGAATATGCCCCCACCTGGTTCAGACAGTTCAATACATCCTTGATAACAACCAGCTATTGAGTACCAGACACACAGCGAGGTGTTCCTCAGGGCTGAGCTCATCTAATCCTCTCAGCAACCTTAGGGGAAGGTGTTACTGTCCCTACTGTACAGCTGAGAAGTGTGAGGCTTAGAGAAGCTACACAGTTTGCTCAGGATCATACAGGCAACGCATAGCAGAGTCTAAATTCAAACTCGGACCATTTTCATTCTGGTGCCTTGTTCATCAACTGGTAGGTAAATTATGGTATACCCATACAATAGAATACTAGTCAGTAACAAGAAGAAATGAATGACAGATGCATGACGGAACCTGGATGAATCACAAAAACGTTATGCTGAATGAAAGCAGGCAGACACAGAAGACTACTTTCTGTAGGATTCCATGTATATGAAATTCTAGAAAAGGCAAAGCACAGTGCCAGGGAACAGATCAGTAGTTGCCAGAAGCCAAAGACTGGAGAAGAAATGGGGCATGGGAAGCTTTCTGGGGTGGTAAAAATGTTCTATACCATGGCCAGATTCTGTGGCTCATGCATGTAATCCCAGCACCTAAAGGTGTTAGCAGAGCCAAGGAGGCTCTAGCCATGTGAGGGCATGGGCTGGAGAGGAGGACAGAACTAGAGAAATAAAATGAAATGACAGGTGGTAGAGTTGAGAAAGGGATGGACAGGGAGCAAATCCTAGAGTAAACATCTGACTGAAAAGAGACTTAGAGATGAACTCTAATCCAATGCCTGCCCCCACCTTTAAAGTTGGGGAACTGAGACCCAAAGAGAAGATTAAAGCAGCGGCAGTGGTGCTGGGGGGGCTGTTTACCTCTGTATTGGTCCATTTCACACGACTCTAAATAACTGCCTGAGACTGGGTAATTTATAAAGAAAAGAGATTTAATTGACTCACAGTTCCACGTGGCTGGGGAGGCCTCAGTAAACTTACCATCATGGCAGAACGGGAAGCAGCCATATCTCACACGGCAGCAGGAGAGGACGCTTGTGAAGGAAGTGAAGGGGGAGGAGCCCCTTATAAAACCATCAGATCTCGTGAGAACTCACTCACTATCACGAGAACGGCATGGGGGGAACCGCCCTCATGATCCAATCACCTCCCACCTGGTTCCTCCCTCAACACCTGGGGAGTACAGGTCAAGATGAGGTTTGGGTGGGGACACAGAGCCTAACCATCTCAACCTCCTTTATTTCATTCTTTCAACAAACATTTACAAACAGCTTGTTCTACATAGCAGACAGTCCAAGTCAAACAGGGCAGAGCCCCTGCTCTCCGGGAGTCCACAGCCGGAAGACGGACAGCCAGATGCCCTGGAAATTTACACTTCATGATGCTCAAGACGCTCAATGTCCCAGTCCCCCAGGCTGAGTTACCAAAGTATTGACATAAGAAAGGGGACTACAGATTTGAGGAGCCCGCAACTTATTCAGGAAGCCCTCTTATGGGAAAATGATACGAAATTATAAATGCAAAGTTAGGTACAAAAGCAGAAGGGGTCTGTACAGGTGAGAAGTCCTGAAGCTTAAGCTTCTTTAGCTTTTACAGCAATTCCTTCCCTGACCACACCTGAATTCAAGGGCAAAAACATACTTCTGAACTGGGCCAACAGCGCCCTCTAGCGGACCCACAGAGGAAGGCCTCAAGGAGCTCTGAGCTTTGGACACACCCACGCAGGCAGCGTAAAGCCAAGCAGGTAAATTTGGCCATCGGCTTCCTAGACACTTTCTCATCAGCCCATAGACCTGCCCTTCCTAACCCTAGAGGTGTGCAATTATTATTAGAAGCTTAGAGCTCAGCGTCCAGATGGACAGTTCCTTGTAGTTCCTTGATTTGGGGCAGGTAACTTAACCTTTCCACGTTTGTTTCCTTTACTGCAAATAAGTTGTGTCATAATGAGATTAAGTAAGTACCTACTTCAGAGGATGGTTGTAAAAATTAAATGAGATGACTCACTTTTATGATGTCTCTAAAATTAATTTTAAATAGACTCACTTATAAGTGCTTTATACAAAGGGCACTTTGATGTGTAATTTTTATTATTATTATTATTATTATTATTATTATTGAGACAGAGTCTCTCTGTTGCCCAGGCTGAGTGCAGTGGCGCGATCTCGGCTTACTGCAACCTCCATCTCCCAGGTTCAAGCGATTCTCCTGCCTCAGCCTCCCGAGTAGCTGGGACTACAGGCGCCTGCCACCACGCCTGGCTAATTTTTGTATTTTTAGTAGAGACGGGGTTTCACCATGTAAGTTATTTTTTAAGGAAAATGTATTCACCTGGCCATATTTTCTGCTTCTTCATGAACTCTTCTGAAGAAATTACCCTTACTACACACTCACAAAGGACCACGCAAGGCCCAGTTACACGGTGCAGGGTAGAGACAAGGTGTGTCTGTCTCATCCACCATTCCACAGACCCCTAAAGAGTGAGGTGGGAGTTTATTCATCTCCCCATTCCCCCCAGCACATCCCTGGCTCATGGCCCATCACAGGAAAAGTCACTTCATGGATCAATGTCTGGAGAGGGTACAATGTCGGTGTGAGATGAATGAATACTAAGTGAGTACTCTTCATGTTTTCTTCTAACTTTATATTTTAATATAATTTCAGATTTAGAGAAAAGTTGCAAGAATAATGAAGGATGAATTATCAGGGGCTCTTCTTCCAAATTCCCCAAAACATGCACATTAAACTCAGGGCCTTCTGTGTCCTCTGCCCCTTTCTCTCTCGATATGCTTGAGTGTGTGTGCATCATCTTCTGAACCATCTCCAGTTAGTTGCAGATGTGGTCCTCTTTTGCCCCCAAATCTTCAGTACATAGTTCCTAAAAAGAAGGACATTCCCTTATATAACTGCAATTCACTTATCAAAATCAGGAATTTGGCATAAATTCAATACTATTATCTACCCTGCAAACCTTATTTAGATTTTACCAACTTGTCCCAATAATGTCATCTACCCAAAAGAAAATCCGAGATCGTGCATGGCATTCCACTGTTACCTCCTTTCAATCCGACCAGATTCCTCCCTCAACACCTGGGGGGTACAGGTCAAGATGAGATTTGGGTGGAGACACAGAGCCTAATCATCTTAACCTCCTCTATTTTATTCATTCAACAAGCATTTACAAACAGCTGACCCTAAGCAAGCAACTGGAATTGAAAGACCAGCAGGAAAGTAATGGGATATCAACCCTCCCTCATCACACCATTTGCTTTTTACTTATTTATTTGCAACCGTAGTTTTACATATGATAAGTTCCTCCAAAGAGAAGAGGGAAGAGAACTCTGATCCCTCCCCTCTGAAGTTTAAATTATTAAAATACACCTTATGGACTGGGGTAGCCTCAACTGGAGCCCAATTGCTGAAAGGACAGGACAGACCCTGGGAGGAAGTTTGCCCTGGGATGGATAGCTGGGAATTAAGGGGCATGATGATAGGAGCCTGGACAAGTAACCAGGAATCAACCCTGAGAATTCTGTCCTCAGAGAATTCTGATCCATCATAACCCATTCATGGTCCAGCCACCTGGCACTGTGGTCATGCCTTGGAGACAAGATATGGTGTCCATCCTCAAGGAACTCATCACTGAAGAGCTCCTGGGACACTTGGGGACCATGTTTGTCATGTGATCATGTGCTTGCCAGGTGACTCCCCTGACTAAGCATAAGCAAAGAGCTGAGGAAGGTGAAGCTGTGCTCACAGGAGGTGGGCAGCTCTGCTGGAGCCATATCACTGCAGATATTCTGAAAATCACAAGGTCATCAGGGAAGGGTTCTTCAGGCAAGGAGAGGCAGAATGAAAGCCAAATCCTGAGACTGCGCAAGAACCTCTGGGCACCTGGGAAAATTTGGGGAACTAGAGAAAGCTGGACCCCTTCTGAGTAAATTAAGTGAGGGCTCAGAGCTGTTGCCATTTGAACAGGCTTCTATAGGAGAGACTGTGCTTGGGTCCAGGGAATGGAGAACTTCAGAATTAACATTCCCTGAATCCTTGGTCATTGCAATAGAGTTATCAGCCTTCAGACAGAAGGAAAGAGGGAAACAAAACTTGTCTCTTGGAATCCAAGTTCCCAGACACCAGCCAAGGACCAAACCCACAAGTAGCCTTTTCTAAGGACAGCAGTCTTCACTCTTTTCTACACATAGATCTTTTTACTGTGGCTGCTTTTTGAGATTTTCTCTTCATCATTGGTTTTAAGCAATTAGATTATGATATACCTTGATGCAGTTTTTACGTTTGAGGGTTTGGAAATTTTTGACCCATTATTTCTGCAAATTTTTTTTAGTATTCGTTCTCTATTTTTCCTTCCAACTTTTATTTTAGGTTTAGGGTACATGTGCATGATTGTTACATGGGTAAATTGTGTGTCACAGGGGTTTGGTGTACAGATTACTTCATCACCCAGGTAATAAGCATAGTACACAATAGGTAGTTATTTGATCCTCACCCTCTTCCTACCCTACACCTTCAAATAGGCCCCAGTGTCTACTGTTCCCTTCTTTGAGTCCATGTGCACTCATTGTTTAGCTCCCACTTGTAAGTGAGAACATGCGGCATTTGGTTTTCTGTTCCTGTGTTGATTTTCTCAGGATAATGACCTCTTGCTCCATCCATGCTGCTGCTGCAAAAAAACATGATTTTGTTATTTTTGTGGCTGTGTAGTATTCCATGGTATAAACGTACTACATTTTCTTTATCCAATTTACCATTGATGGGCACCTAAGTTGATTCCACGTCTTTGCTATTGTGATAATGAATGCTGTAATGAACATATACGTACATGTACCTTTATAGTAGAATGATTTATACTCCTACAGGTATATACCCAGTAATGAGATTGCTGCGTCAAATGGTAGTTCTGTTTTAAGTTCTTTGAGAAATCTCCAAATTGCTTTCCACAGTGGCTGAACTAATTTACGCTCCCACCAGCAGTGTATAAGCATTCCCTTTTCTCTGCAACCTTGCCAGCATCTGTTAGTTTTTGGCTTTTTAATTAGTCATTCTGACGGGTGTGAGATAGTATCTCACTGTGGTTTTGATTTGCATTTCTCTAATGATTAATGATATTGAGCATTTTTTCATATGCTTGTTGGCTGTGTGTTACATCTTCTTTTGAAAACTGTCTGTTCATGTCCTTTGCCCATTTTTTAATGGGGTTGTTTGGTTTTCGCTTGTTAATTTGTTTAAGTTCCTTATAGATTCTGGTTATTAGACCCTTGTTGGATGCATAGTTTGCAAATATTTTCTCCTATTCTGTAGGTTATGCAGAAGCCCTTTAGTTTAATTAGCTTCCATTTATCCATTTTTGGTTTTATTGCAATTGCTTTAGGTGTCTTTGTCATGGAATCTTTGCCAGGGCTTATGTCTAGAATGGTATTTCCTAGGTTACCATCAGACCTGCCTTACAAGAGATCCTTAAGGGAGGGCTAAATATGGAAACGAAAAACTATTACCAGCCACCACAAAAGCACACTTAAGTACACCATTGACGCCATGAAGCAACTACACACTCAAGTCTTTCTCCTCATCCAGGTACTCAAATTACATTTACGTTAAAATTAAAATTGTCCCACAGCTCACTAAAATTCTTCATTTAGGGGTCTTTCTTCTATGTTTCATTTTGGATGGTTTCTATTGCTATATCTAAAAAAAAAAAACTTTTCTTCTTCAGTGTCTAAATGGCTATTAATTCCATTTAGTGCATTTTTCATGTCAGGCATTGTAGCTTTCATCTCTAGAAATTTAATCTGAGTCCCTTTTTTGACATTTTGACACCTTTATTGAAGTATCTTCTAGAATTTTTATAGTTTCAGGTCTTAGGTTTAAGTCCTTAATCCATCTTGAGTTGATTTTTGTATAAGGTGGGAGATGAGTATCCAGTTTCATTCTCCTACATGTGGCTTGCCAATGATCCCAGCACAATTTGTTGAAAAGTCTGTCCTTTTCCAACTTTAGGTTCTTGTTTGCTTTGTCAAAGATCAGTTGGCTGTAAGTATTTGGGTTTATTTCTGGGTTCTCTATTCTGTTCCATTGGTCTATGTGCCTATTTTTGCACAAGTACCCCACTGTTTTGGTGACTATGGCCTTACAGTATAGTTTGAAATCAGGTAGTGTGATGCCTCCAGATTTGTTCTTTTTGCTTAGTCTTGCTTTGGCTATGTGGGCTCTTTTTGGTTCCATATGAATTTTAGAATTTTTTTTCTAACTCTGTGAAGAATGATGGTGGTATTTTGATGGGGATTGTGTTGAATTTGTAGATTGCTTTTGGCAGTATGATCATTTTCACAATATTGATTCTACCCATCCATGAGCATGGGATATGTTTCCATTTGTTTGTGTTATCTATGATTTATTTCAGCAGTGTTGTGTAGTTTTCCTTGTAGAGGTCTTTCATTCCTAAGTATTTTATTCTTTCTTTTCAGCTATTGTAAAAGGGGTTGAGTTCTTGATTTGATTCTCTGCTTGGTCGCTGTTGGTGTATAGAAGAGCTACTGATTTGTGTACATTAATCTTGTATTGGAAACTTTGCTGAATTCTTTCATCAGTTCTAGGAGCTTTCTGGAGGAGCCCTTAGGGTTTTCAAGGTAACTGATGATATCGTTAGCAAACAGCAACAGTTTGACTTCCTCCTTACCAATCTGGATGCCCTTTATTTCTTTCTCTTGTCCAATTGCTCTGGCTAGGACTTCCAGTACTATGTTGAAGAGGAGTGGTGAAGGTGGGCATCCTTGTCTTGTTCCTGTTCTCAGAGGGAATGCTTTCAACTTTTCCCTATTCAGTATTATGTTGGCTGTGGGTTTGTCATAGATGGCTTTTATTACATTAAGCCTTTGCATGCCGATTTTGCTGAGGGTTTTAATCATAAAGGGATGCTGGATTTTGTTGAATGCTTTTTCTGCATCTGTTGAGATGATCATGTGATTTTTGTTTTTAATTCTGTTAATGTGGTGTATCACATTTATTGACTTGCATATGTTAAACCATCCCTGCATCCCTGGTATGAAACCCACTTGATCACAGTGGATTATCTTTTTGATATGTTGTTAGATTCAGTTAGCTAGTATTTTGTTAAGGATTCTAGCATCTATGTCAATCAAGGATCTCAGTCTGTAGTTTTCTTTTTTGGTTGTGTCTTTTCTTGATTTTGGTACTAGGGTGATGCTGGCTGCATAGAATGAATTAGGGAGGGTCCCTTCTTTCTCTGTCTTGTGAAATGGTATCAAAAGGATTGGTATCAATTCTTCTTTGAATGTCTGGTAGAATTCTGCTGTGAATCCACCTGGTCCTGGACTTCTTTTTGTTGGTAATTTTTTAATTACTGTTTCAATCTTGCTGCTTGTTATTGGCTGTTCAGGGTATCTAATTTTTCCTGATTTAAGCTAAGAGGGTTGTATTTCTCCAGGAATTTATCCATCCCTTCTAGATTTTCTAGTTTATGCATGTAAAGGTGTTCATAGTAGCCTTGAATGATCTTTTGTATTTCTGTGGTGTCAGTTGTAATATCTCCTGTTTCGTTTCTCAGTGAGGTTATTTGGATTTTCTCTCTTCTTTTCTTAGGTAATCTTGCTAATGGTCTATCAATTTTATTTATCTTTTCAAAGAATCAGCTTTTTGTTTCATTTCTCTTTTGTATTTTTTGTTTGTTTCAATTTCATTTAGTTCTGCTCTGATCTTGGTTATTTCCTTTCTTCTGCTGGGTTTGGGTTTGGTTTTTTCTTGTTTCTCTAGTTCCTTGAGGTGTGACCTTAGATTGTCTCTTTGTGCTCTTTCAGACTTTTTGATGTAGGCATTTAGGGCTATGAACTTTCCTCTTAGCACTGCCTTAGCCGTATCCCAGAGGTTTTGATAGGTTGTGTCATCACTGTCATTCAGTTCGAAGAAGTTTTAAATTTCCATTTTTATTTTGTTTTTGACCCAATGCTCATTCAGGAGCAGGTTATTTAATTTCCATGTATTTGCATGGTTTTGAAGGTTCCTTTTGGATTTGATTTACAGTTTTATTCCACTGTGGTCTGAGACAGTGCTTGATATAATTTCAATTTTCTTAAATTTACTGAGGCTCATTTTATGGCCTATCATATGGCCTAACTTGGAGAAAGTTCTATGTGCTGTTGAATAGAATGTGTATTCTGCAGTTGTTGGATGACATGTTCTGTATATGTCTGTTACATCCATTTGTTCCAAGATATAGTTTAAATCCATTGTTTCTTTATTGACTTTCTATCTTGATGACCTATCTAGTGCTGTCAGTGGAGTACTGAAATTCCCCACTTTTATTGTATTGTTATCTACCTCATTTCTTAGGTCTATTAATAATTGTTTTATAAATTTGGGACCTCTAGTGTTAGATGCATATACATATAGGATTGTGATATTTTCCTGTTGGACAAGGCCTTTTACCATTATATAATGTCCTCTTTGTCTCTTTTAACCGCTGTTGCTTTAAAGTTTGTTTTGTCTGATATAAGAATAGCCACTCCTGCTTGCTTTTGGTGTCCATTCGCATGAAATGCCTTTTTCCACCCCTTTACTTTAAGTTTACGTGAGTCCTTATGAGTTACGTGAGTCTCCTAAAGGCAGCAGATAGTTAATTGGTGAGTTCTTATCCATTCTGTGGTTCTGTATCTTTTAAGTGGAGTATTTAGGCCATTTACATTCAATGTTAGTATTGAAATATGAGGTACCATTGCATGCATCATGCTCTTTGTTGCCTGCATACTTTGGGTTTGTTTTTCGGTTGTGCTTTTTAAACTTCTATTTTTGTTTTATAGGTCCTGTGTGATTTATGCTTTAAAGAGGTTCTGTTTTGATGTGTTTCCAGGATTTGTTTCAAGATTTAGAGCTCCTTTTAGCAGTTCTTGTAGTGGTGGTTTGGTTATGATGAATTCTCTCAGCATTTGTTTGTCTGAAAATGACTGTATCTGTCCTTCATATATGATACTTAGTTTCACTGGATACAAAATTCTTGGCTGATAATTTGTTTAAGAAGGCTGAAGATAGGGCCCCAATCCCTTCTACCTTGTAGAGTTTCTGCTGAAAAATCTGCTGTTTATCTGACAGGTTTTCCTTTATAAGTTACCCGGTGCTTCTGTCTCACAGCTCTTAAGATTCTTTCCTTTGTCTTAACTTGGGATAATCTGATGACAATGTGCCTAGGCGAAGATCTTTTTGTGATGAATTTCCCAGGTGTTCTTTGTGCTTCTTGTATTTGCATGTCTAGGTCTCTAGCAAGGCCAGGGAAGTTTTCCTTGATTATTCCCCCAAATATGTTTTCCAAGCTTTTAGAATTGTCTTCATCCTCAGGAACACTGATTATTCTTAGGTTTGGTCCTTTAACACAATCCCAGACTTCTTGGAGGCTTTGTTCATATTTTCTTATTATTTTTTCTTTGTCTTTGTTGGATTGGGTTAATTTGAAGACCTTGTCTTCAAGCTCTGAATTTCTTTCTTCTACTTGTTCAGTTATATTGCTGAGACTTTCTAGAGCATTTTGCATTTCTAAAAGTATGTCCAAAGTTTCCTGATTTTTTTACTGTTTTTTTCTTTAGGCTATCTATTTCCTTGAATATTTCTCCCTTCACTTCTTGTATCACTTTTTAGATTTCCTTGCATTGGGCTTTGCCTTTCTCTGGTCCCTCCCCGATTAGCTTAATAGCTAACTTCCTGAATTGTTTTTCAGATAAATCAGGGATTTCCTCTTGGTTTGGATCCATTGCTGGTGAACTAGTGTGATTTTAGTGGGGGGTGTCGATGAGCCTTGTTTTGTCATATTACCAGGGTTGGTTTTCTGGTTCCTTCTCATTTGGGTAGGCTCTGTCAGAGGGAAGGTCTAGGGCTGAAGGCTGTTGCTCAGACTTTTTTGTCCCATGGGGTGTTCCCTTGATGTAGTACTCTCCCACTTTTCCTGTGCATGTGGCTTCCTGTAAGCTGAACTGCAGTGATTGCTGCCTCTCTTCTGGGTCTAGCCACCTAGCGAGTCTACCCAGCTCTAGGCTGGGACTGAGGGCTGTCTGCACAGAGTCCTGTGATGTGAACCATCTATGGGTCTCTCAGCCATGTATACTAGCACCTGTTCCAGTGGAGGTGGCAGAAGGTGCAATGGACTCTGCGGGGGTCCTTAGCTTTGATGGTTTAATGATCTATTTTTGTGCTGGTTGGCCTCCTGCCAGGAGGTGGTACTTTCCAGAAAGCATCAGCTATAGTAGTGTGGAGAGGGACTGGTGGTGGGCAGGGCCCTAGAACTCCCAAGATTATATGTCATTTTGAGAGGTGAAGCCGGCTGGGCTTCTGGGTCGGGTGGGGACTTGGAGAACTTTTCTGTCTAGCTAAAGGATTATAAACACACCAATCAGTGCTCTGTGTCTAGCTAAAGGTTTGTAAACGCACCAATCAGCACTCGGTAAAATGGACCAATCAGCAGGACGTGGGCAGGGCCAAATAAGGGAATAAAAGCTGGCCACCGAACCAACAGTGGCAACCCGCTCAGGTCCCCTTCCATGCTGTGGAAGCTTTGTTCTTTCTCTCTTCACAATACATCTTGCTGCTGCTCACTCTTTGGGTCTGCACTACCTTTATGAGCTGTAACACTCACTGCAAAGGTCTGTGGCTTCACTCCTGAAGTCAGTGAGACCACAAACCCACCAGAAGGAAGAAACTCCAGACACATCTGAACATCTGAAGGAACAAACTCTGGACACACCATCTTTAAGAACTGTTAACACTCACTGCAAAGGTCTGTGGCTTCACTCCTGAAGTCAGTGAGACCACGAACCCACCAGAAGGAAGAAACTCCAGACACATCTGAACATCTGAAGGAACAAACTCTGGACACACCATCTTTAAGAACTGTTAACACTCACTGCGAGGGTTCGTGGCTTCATTCTTGAAGTCAGCGAGACCAAGAACCCACTGGAAGGAACCAATTCTGGGCACACTTTGTCTACAGCTACCAGGTTGGGTAGGGAAGGACTATCAGGTGGGGGCAAGGCTAGGCGTGTATGAGCTCAGACTCCCCTTGGGCAGATCTTGCCGTGGCTGCTACAGGGGATGGGGGTGAGATTCCCAGGTCACTGGAGTTGTGTACCTAGGAGGATTATGGCTGCCTCTGCTGAGTCATGCAGGTTGTCAGGGAAGAGGGGAAAAGCCAGTCACAGGCCTTATCCAACTCCCATGCAAACCCAAGGGTCAGTCTCACTTCCACCTTGACCCCCGCAACAGCCCCAAATATGTTTCCAGGTGGAGGGCAAGTTGAGCTTGAAGACTTGCCCAAGGCTTTCTGCCTCCCAGCTGGGAAAGAAAAGGGCTTTAGTTCTTCCCCCGCCTGAGAAGTCTGCAAGCCAGATTCGTGCCCTCCCCCAAGTTCTGGCCCAGGCTTCTCGCCCCGTTCAAATTGTTACAAAGTTCATCTAGAAAAGTCCTTGTCCCTGTGGAGTTTTACCCCCTGCTCCTCTGGCCACCCTCCTGATGGATCCCGGTGGTGCCAGGCAGGAATGGGCTGCTTCGGGATCCACTGAGCTCCCAGGGCCTCCCTGCTGCTTCCTCTACCCCTGTATTTCGCTCAGCTCAGCTCTCTAACTTGACTCAGCTCCAGGTAAAGTCAAGAACTTCCTCAAACAGACCTTCAGCTTCTCCACTGGGGGCGTGTGTTCGGGAGAGGGGGGTCTCCCTTTCCCACTTCTGCAGTTGGGGCACTCACAGTATTTGGGGTGTCTCCTGGGTCCTGCAGGAGCAGTCCACTTCCTTCAGAGGGTCTGTGGGTCCTCTCAGGATTGCTGGTTTGTTCTTGCAGTCGACCTGGGGCTAAAATTCACAATGCAAGCCTCAGCACGCTGCTCTGTCCGGAGCTGCAACCTAGTCCTGCCTCCCATCCGCCATGATCCCTGGTCTTGCTAATATTTTACTAAGGATGTTTGTGCCTATATTCACAAGGGATATTAATCTGTAGATTCCTTTTTTATACTGTCTTCTCTGGTTTTGCTCTCGGGGTAATACTAGCTTCATAAAATAGACTTGAAAGTGTTCTCTTCTGTTTTCTGGAAGATATTTTATAGAGTTTTTAAAATTCTTCTTTAAACATTTAGGAGAATTCTCTGGCAAAATCATCTGGGCATGGAGACTTAATTTTTGAGAAATTTCAAATTATAATTTTGGTTTCCTTAATAGTTTGTAGGGCTAGTAAAAAGATCTATTTGTGATAGTGTGTGTTTTTTGAAGAATTGATCCATTTCATCTAGGCTGCTAAATTTAAATTATAATTTTGATTTCCTTAATAGCTATAGGGCTAGTAAAAAGATCTATTTGTGGTATTAAATAGTTGGTGTTTTTTGAAGAATTGATTTATTTCATCTAGGTTGTCAAATTTATGTGTGTAGAGTTGTTCAAAATACTCCCTTATTATTCTTTTGGTGTCTGCAAGGTCTGTAGTGATATCTCCTGTTTCATTACTGATAATAGTAATCTGCTCTCTCTCTCTCTCTCTCTCTCTCTCTGATCTTATCAAGGAACTAGCCCTTTGCTTCACTGATTTTCTCCATTGTTTTCCTGTTTCCAGCTTCACTGATTTTGCCTCTTATTTGTATTATTTTATTCCTTCTGCCTTGGATTTAGTTTTCTCTTCTTTATCCAGGTTCTTGAGATGGGAGCTTCAATTATTGATTTAGACCTCTTTTCTAATGTATTCATTTAGTGTTATATATTTCCCTCTCGGCCCGCCTTTAGCTGTGTCCCATAAATTTTGATATGTTGTGTTTTCATTTTCATTCAGTTTAAGGTACTTGTTCATCTTTTTCAGACTTCCTCTTTGACTCAAAGACTCTACAGAAGTGTGTTGCTTAGTTTTCAAGTGTATGGAGATTTTACTATTATCTTTCTATTATTAATTTCTAGTTTGATTCCATTTTTGTCTGTGAACAAAATTGTCTCTGTATGATTTCTTTTAAATTTGTTGAGATTTGTTTTATGGCCCAGAATGTAGTCCATCTTGGCATATATTCTGTTGGCACTTGAAAAGAATGTATGGGGCCAGGCGCGGTGGCTCACGCTTGTAATTCCAGCACTTTGGGATGCCAAGGCGGGTGGATCACCTGAGGTCCAGAGTTCGAGACCAGCCTGGCCAACATGGTGAAACCCTGTCTCTACTAAAAATACAAAATTAGCCAGGTGTGGTGGCGCACACCAGTAATCCCAACTACTTGGGAGGCTGAGGCAGGAGCATTGCTTGAACCTAGGAGGTGGAGGTTGCAGTGAGCCGAGATCACGCCATTGCACTCCAGCCTGTGTGACAAGAAAGAAACTCAGTCTAAAAGAAAATAAAAAAGAAATGCTGATCCTTTCCAGAAACACATTCACAGACACACCCAGAAATAACACTTTACCAGCTATCTGGGCATCCCTTAGTCAAGTTGGTAAGTAAATGAACTGTCACAGATATTTAAGAGTTTTTTTTGTTTGTTTCTTTTTTTATTGTTGTTGTTGTTGTTGTTATTGAGACAGGGTCTCACTCTGTCTCACTCCACCCAGGCTGGAGTGCAGTGGTGTGATCTCGGCTCACTGCAACCTCCACCTCCGGGGTTTAAGCAATTCTTGTGGCTGGGCCTCCCAAGTTGCTGGGATTACAGGCATATGCCACCACGCCCGGCTAATTTTTGTATTTTTAGTAGAGACAGGGTTTCACCATGTTGTCCAGGCTGGTCTCAAAGTCCTGGCCTCAAGTGAACCACCCACCTTGGCCTCCCAAAGTGCTGGCATTACAGGTGTGAGCCACCATGCCTGGCCAACAGTTCTTTCCTTAATGCACCTGAAAAATATTGCTCCACTTCCTTCTGGCCTCCATGATTTCTGATGAGAAATTTTTTTCCCATTCAGGTTGTTTCTCTTGTATAAGATAAACATTTTTCCCTGGCTGCTTTCAAGGTTTTTTTTGTATTTAGTTTTCAAAAGTTTAGTTATGATGTGTCTTGGAATGAATTTCTTTGGGTTTATCTATTTTGAGATTTGTTCACCTTCTTGAATATTTAAGCTTATGTCTTTTGCCAAATTTGGGAATTTTCAGCAATTATTTCTTCATATACTTTTCCAGCCCTGCCCTTTTATTTCCTCTCTCTAGGACTCATGATAGGAATGTTGGATCTTTTGTTGTAGTCCCATGAATTCCTGAGACCCTGATCATTTTATTTTCAGTCTATTTTTTTTCTATTGTTCATATTGGTTAATTTCTTTTTCTTTTTTCTTTTTTTTTTTTTTGAGACGGAGTCTTGCTCTGTCGCCCAGGCTGGAGTACAATGGCGTGATCTCGGCTCACTGCAACCTCTGCCTCCTCGTAAAATAGAGTTTTCTCTTCAAAAAATTCCTCCCCATCTAATTAAGAATAAATAGTAACTTCCCTTAAAAACAAAATTTATTCAAAGACCTGTGCTAACATTCTTAAATATCTGCTAGCTGTAATAAATCAATGAACTTTATGTTCTTAGCTCCCACAGTTTAGCCTAAATATTTGCCCTGGCATACTTATACTGGTCCAAACAAGCATTGGGTCATAGCCTGTTCCTCTTCCTTATTTAAAGGTGTTTTTACCTTTCCCAGCATTCCACAGGTTACTTCCTCCTTTCTTTGTTCTCCTCTGCCTTTGCCCCTTTTAAAAGTTCTAAGTTGCTAGCCAATCAGGACAAATACAAAATATGAGGTCCCGTTCCGGCCAATGGAAACTGAACACAGCAGCAGGGTAAACACGTCAGGCATCAGGTTATAAATGACCCTGTCTCCTTTGTTCAGTATACTCTCGTAACAAAACTGCTGGCAACTGTACCCTTTCTATAAAAAGTATAAAAATGGCCTTACTGAGAACATTAAATTTATGTTCAAGTACAGTTTCTTTACAGCACTGGGGAACAAACATTTCAAACAAGGCGATTCTCCTGCCTCAGCCTCCCGAGTAGCTGGGATTACAGGTGCCCGCCACCACGCCCGGCTAACTTTTTGTATTTTTAGTAGAGACGGGGTTTCACCATGTTGGCCAGGCTGGTCTCAAACTCCTGACCTCGTGATCCACCCACCTTGGCCTCCCAAAATGCGGGGACTACAGCTGTGAGCCACTGCACCCGGCCCATATTGGTTATTTTCTAATATTCCGTCTTCAAGTTCACTTGTCCCTCCGCCTCCTCTGCTCCACCTCCATTCTGCCGTTGAGCTCATCCATTGGGTTTTTTGTTAGCTCTTCTATATATTATTTATTTCTTTTTCTCTTATTTTATGAAACTTTCTATTTTTTTTTTTTTTGGCTGAGACTATCTTTTTTCTCTTTTTATAATATTTTGTATTTATATTATTGTTTTTTATTTTACTGCCTACAGCCCTCTTAAGAATTTTTTTCTTTTTTTAAATCACGTTCATAATTGCTCACTGAAGTATCTTTATGATGGCTGCTTTAATATCTTCAACAGATAAATGTAACGTCTCTGTCATCTTGCTGTTGGTATCTATCAATTGTCTTCTTTCATTCTGTTGGAGATCTTCCTGGTTCTTGGTAGGATGAGTGCCTTTTGATTGAAATCTGCACATTTGGGGTATTATGTTAGGAGACTCTAGATCTTACTTAAACCTTCAGTTTAGTTACCTTTTTCTGATACCACTCTAGCAGGGCAAAGAGGGGTTTGCCGCCTCATTACTGCTAGCTGGGGGTAGAAGTCCAGGTTGCCACCATTGACACCAGAGGGGGGTTCCTCATTACTGCTGCCCAAGAGTGGGAGCTTCGGCCCTCTGCTAGGCTTCTGCTGCTCTCTCCTGGGTGGGAGAGGCAGGAGTGCCTTGTTATTGATCCCCACAGGGTCCCACTGACACCAGGTCCAGGGGGACCTCATTACTTCCAGGCAGTGGTGGCAGTCCTGACTCTCTCCTTGGCCTCCTCTGACACCACCCCAACCAGAACAGGGAGGGGTGGCTAATTACTGCTGGGTGCAGCTCCCCACATAATCTCCACTGTCACTGTGGCTGGGTGAGAGTGGGGCCTCATTACTATGCAAGGGGACGAAAGCCCCAGCTTCCTCTTGACCTTCCCTGACACCACCTGGGATGGGAAGGGGGTGCAGGAGGGCAGGGTTGAGGTGCTCAAAGAAAGTGGAAGTCTGGGCTCCCCACTCAGCCTTTGCTGGCACAGGTGGTATGGGTCCACCGCCTATTCTGTGGTGTTTGACTGGAGTGGAGCAATTATTTTCTTTTTTTTTTTCTTGACATGGAGTCTCGCTCTGTCGCCCAGGATAGAGTGCAGTGGCACGATCTCGGCTCACTGCAAGCTCCGCCTCCCGGGTTCACACCATTCTCCTGCCTCAGCCTCCTGAGTAGCTGGCACTGCAGGTGCCCACCATGCCCGGCTAATTTTTTGTATTTTTTTAGTAGAGGCGGGGTTTCACCGTGTTAGCCAGGATGGTCTCAATGTCCTGACCTCGTGTTCCACCTGCCTCGGCCTCCCAAAGTGCTGGGATTACAGGCGTGAGCCACCGCTCCCGGCCGTATTTTCTCAAAGTTCTCTGTCTTGCTAGGGGGTGGCTGGCTAGAAAGAGCATGCTTCTGTTGGGCTTTGTGTGCCCCTGTTGGCTCTTCCACATTGCCCACTCCTCCAGCACCCCATCTGGTATATATCAGGCAAAAGGAAACCCCAGGGAACTTCTTCAGGTCCTGAGGTCCCCGGTTGTTCTGCCTTCTTCTCCCCACCTTGCAGTATCTTCTTGCATTTGTTTTGTATGTAAAATCCAAGGTGTTTAGTTGTACTTAGCAAGGACAGGAAGAAGCACATCCACGCCATCTTCCTGGAACCAGATGACTTCTTGAGTTCCTTTTACATCTTTTGTGTCCCTGCTCGGCACACTTAATCTTCCCTCCACCTTCTTGAACATATGGAATATAGTTATAATGACTGTGTTTATTGTCCTTGTCTTCTAATTCTGTCATCTGTGTCTTTTCTGGGTCTGTCTATATGGATTGATTTTCCTTCCCATTGTGGGTCACATTTTCCTGCTTTTTTTCCATGCCTGGTGATTTTTTTATTGAATGCCAGGTATTGTGAATTTTACCTTGTTTGGGCACTGGATATTTGTATTCCTATAGACTGTCTTGAGCTTTGTTCTGTGACACAGTGAAGATACTTAAAAACAGTTTGATGCTTTCAAGGTTTGTTTCTAAGCCTTGTTGGATGGATCAGAGAGGCCTTTACTCTAGGGCTAATTTCCCTCACTCCCGAGTGCACCACCAGATGTCCGTCCTGGCTGATGGGAACCCATATGGTTCCAGCACTCCACGAGCTACAGAGATTGTTCCCTCCAGTCCTTCAGGTGGCCTTCTCCAGCATTGGGTGCTGTCTTTGCATGCATTAGCTGATCACTATTTGCTGAAGATGCAAGAGGGACTCTCACAAGAGCTGGAACTGTCTTTCCAGTTAGCGCTCTCCTCTTCCATGCTCTGCGTGTGAATGCCAGCCACTTTGGCCTCCCCAAACTCCCCACTCCATCTCCTCAACTCAGAGATACCATGGGGCTCCAAAGAGATCAATAAACTGTTCTGGAAACTCTCCAGGCATTAAGCCAAGGCAGCCATAGTTTGTCTCCCTGTCTCGGAGGTCACTCCCTTGTGCTGCCCGATGCATAATGTCTGAAAACCATTTTAGACTTTTTTTTGCTGGTTTGTTTGTTTGTTTGTTTGTTTGTTTTCATTATCCCAGGCAGCAGGGGAAATCTGGTCCCTGTTACTCCAACTTAGCTGGAAGCAAAGTCTCCCAAAGACATAATTTTAAGTGAGCAAAACAAGTTGTTAACAAAATCATGTGTCATTTAACAACAGGGATACAGTCTGAGAAATGCATCATTAGGTGATTTTATTGTTATGCAATCACCAGAGAGTGCACTTACACAAACCTAGATGGGATAGCCTATCACACACCCAGGATACATGGTATGGCCTATTGCTCCTAGGCTACAAATGTCTATAGCATGTAACTGCTCTGAATACTGTAGGCAATTGTAACACAATGGTATTTGTGTTACAATTGTATTGTATCTAAACATATCTAAACATAGAAAAGGTACAATAAAAATACAGTACAAAAGGTTGCAAAATGGTACACCCGTATAGGGCACTGTGTTAGCCAGTTCTTTCATTGCTACAAAGAAATACCTGAGGCTGGGTAATGTGTAAAGAAAGGAGGTTTAATTGGCTAATGGTTCTGCAGGCTTTACAGGAAGCATGCTGCTGGCATCTGCTTCTGGTGTGCCCTCAGGAAGTGAACAATCAATCATGGCAGAAGGCAATGGCGAGAGCAGGAGCAATGGGCAGGGGAGGTCGGGACTTTTTTTTTTTTTTTTTTTTTTGGAGATGGAGTCTCGCTCCGTCACCCAGGCTGAAGTGCAGTGGCGCAATCACAGCTCACCGTAGTCTACACCTCCCAGGTTCAAGTGATTCTCCTGCCACCTTCCCGAGTAGCTGGGACTACAGGCGCTCGCCACCACACCTGGCTAATTTTTCATATTTTAGTAGAGACAGGGTTTCACCACGTTGCCCAGGCTGGTCTCGAACTCCTGAGCTCAGGCAATCCACCCACCTTGGCCTCCCAAAGTGCTAGGATTACAGGCACGGGCCACTACACCCGGCTGGTCCCAGACTTTTAAACAACCAGATCTCTAGTGAACCAGCTGAAGAAAAACTCACTTATCATCAAGAGGATGGTGCTAAACCACTCATGAAGGATCCCCCCCCATGATCCAGTCACTTCCCACCGGGCCCCATCCAATGCTGGGGATTACATTGCAACATGAGATTTGGAGGTGACAAACATCCAAACCGTATCAGGCACTTTCCATGAATGGAGCCTGCAGGACTGGAAGTTGCTCTGGGTGACTGGGTGAATGAGTGGTAAATGAATGTGAAGGCCTAGGGCATTACTAAACACTAATGTAGACTTTATAAACACTATACACTTAGGCTATGCTAAATTTATTTTTATAATTTTCTTTTCTTTTTTTTTGAGGCAGAGTCTTGTTCTGTCACCCAGGCTGGAGTGCAGTGGCACGATCTTGGCTCACTGCAACCTCTGCCTCCCGGATTCAAGTGATTCTCCTGCCTCGGCCTCCTGAGTAGCTGGAATTACAGGCACCTACCACCACGCCTGTCTAATTTTTGTATTTTTAGTAGAAACGGGATTTCACCATGTTGACCAGGCTGGTCCCGAACTCCTGACCTCAGGTAATCCACCCACCTCAGCCTCCCCCAAGTACTGGGATTACAAGCGTGAGCCACTGCACCTGGCCTTTAATTTTCTTTCTTTAATAATAAATTAACCTTGCTACTGTAACTTTTTTACTTTATAAACTTTTTAATTTTTTTTAACTTCTTGACTCTTACCAATATTTTGTACTGCATGTAATCAAATATGGGCTATACTGCTTCTCCTGCAAATAGGTGATCAGAACATGGACAGGAAAGACACACCAATTTCTATTCCTCTGAGAAGGGTGCTGGGGATAGATCTGGGGCCTAAACTGTGTTCATGTGTTTTCTTAACTAAAACAATTTTTTTAAAAAAAAGAATCTGAAGCCATTATAGTAGAATAATGTTAATATGTATTCACTCTGGGTGGTGGGTACATGGATGTTTGTACTTTGAAATATCTTCGCATTTTTAAATATTATTCTGTGAAAAGAAGGGGAAGACAAAATGTAAAATGTTACTGCTATTTTAGAATTTGTCTAGCAGGTTTTCCGGTCTTCACCAGAAAACCCCTAGAAAGAAAAAGAAAAGAAAAAAAAATATTTTAATGGAGAGAGTCACCATGAGATACAAATGCACAGATGGGAGGGAGAGGCAGCAGTTCTGGAGGAGAAGGTAGGGGCTGGCCCAGGTCCTTCCAGGTTAAGTACAAACCCTCAGCATGTTCCCAACCTTCCCTGAGAACTCTCAGGAACTGACGCCACATACCAGAAAATGCCACTGCTTGTCATTCCAAAGACACAAGGCAGTACTGACCCTCCTTACCTCCTTTCACCCAGTTTCTCCCATCAGGAATGTCCTCCCATCCTACCCCACCACATTCCAACCCACAGACAAGGACCAGCTCAAAGGCCCCCTCTTCCCTGAAGCTGCATGTACTAGTTCATTTGCATTGTATAAAGGAATACTTGAGACTGGGTAATTTATAAATAAGAGGGGTTTACTTGGCTCACAGTTCTGCAGGCTGTACATGAAGCATAGTGTCGGCATCTGCTTCTAGTGACGAAACTTACAATCATGGCAGAAGGGGAGTCAGCGTGTCACATGCAGAGAGCTGGAGCAAGAGAGAGAGGAGGAAGTTCCAGCCTCTTTTAAACAAGCAGATCTTACATGAACTCGTAAAGCAAGAACTCATTCATTATGCATATCTAGAGAGAGAACTCACCCATTACAGGAGCACAGCACCAAGCCATTCATGAGGGATCTGCCCCCCATGACCCAAACACCTCCCACTAGGTCCACCTCCAACCATGAAGGTCACATTTCAACATGAGATTTGGAGGGGACAAGACATCCAAACCATATCACCATATCAACCGGGAGGTCCTCTTGGTTCCAAATGACAGAGGAGCAAACCGGTCAGCTTACACAAAGGGGAGTGGGGGAGATGCTTGGCTCACATGACATAACACTGAAGGGGCAGGGGCAGGGGCAGGGACCTCAGGGATGACTTGATCCAGGTACCAAGCATCTCTGAGCCTCTCTCTGTGTCTTTCTGATTTTCACAGTCTCTACCCACATGGCTTGGGGCAGCCCCTCATAATCCTCACCACTTGAGAGCTACAAAGGGCCTTTTGACTCCTTCTGAAGTTTTCAAACACCTGCAGGAAAGCTCAAGTGGATGTATTATGATTACCTTGGCTGGAGTTATCTGCCCACTCCTGTAGCCTGGGCAGTGGCCTTTCCTGCTACAGACAATGGGGGATGGACTGGGCAAACCAAACCCATTGCCAATACAATGCCTATAACTTTCTTTCTGTTTTTTTTTTTTTTGAGACGGAGTCTTGCTCTGTCACCCAGGCTAGAGTGCAGTGGCGCGATCTTGGCTCACTGTAAGCTCCGCCTCCTAGGTTCATGCCATTCTCCTGCCTCAGCCTCCCGAGTAGCTGGGACTACAGGCACCTGCCACCACATCCGGCTAATTTTTTTGTATTTTTAGTAGAGACGGGGTTTCACCATGTTAGCCAGGATGGTCTCGATCTCCTGACCTCGTGATCCACCTGCCTCAGCCTCCCAAAGTGCTGGGATTACAGGCATAAGCCACCGCGCCCGGCCTACAACTCCTATAACTTTCCAAAACAATTCTCATCTGCCTCCTCTGAGTCCCAAGAAAAGTTTTTTGTCCCACTCTTCATTCAGTGACATCTAATCAAAAGGATTCTTTGAAAACTGTATTCACCATGTGCCCAGAGGGACAAAGATGACTTAGAAACAGGCCCTGTCCTTGAGGAACAGGGGAACAAGGTGTGTAAAAGGATTGTTGCAATGCAATATGGGAAATGCAGTAATAGATACATGTTACCAGGTGTGTGGGAAAATAAGATGACTTGAAGAGGGGGCATTCAAATTAGATTATTTTCGTGGCTTTATCTAATCTTTTTTAAACAGTTTTATTGAGGTATAATTGATACGCAAGGAAGTGCACATATTTAATGTGTAAAACTTGATGACTGGGTCATATGCAAATACCCATGATACCATCATCAAAATCAAGGTAATAGACACATCTGCCACCTCCCAAAGTTTCCATGTGTCCTTTTGTTTTTGTTTTTGGTGTTTTGGTTTGGCTCGGTTTTGGTGGTTAAAAAAACACTTAACATGGTAGTTTTGGTCAGGTGCGGTGACTGGCTCATTCCTGTAATCCCAGGACTTCGGGAAGCCAAGGCGGGTGGATCACCTGAGGTCAGGAGTTAGAGACCAGCCTGGCCAACATGGTGAAACCCCGACTCTATTAAAAATACAAAAATTAGCCGGGTGTGGTGGTGCGTGCCTGTAATCCCAGCTACTTGGGAGGCTAAGGCAGGACACTCACTTGAACCCAGGAGGTGGAGGCTGCAGTAAGCTGAGATCGTGTCAGTGCACTCCAGCCTAGGCGGCCGAGAGAGACTCTGTCTCAAAAACAAACAAACAAACAAAAAACACTAAACACGAGATCTGCCTTCTTATATTTTGAAGTTCACAATACTGTATTGCTAACTGTTGTATAGCTGGTCTCTAGAACATATGCATCTTGCATAACCGAAACTTTACACCCACTGGACAACAACTTTCCATTTCCCCCATGCTCCAGCTCCTGGCAACTATTGAATTCTCTGTTTCTATGAGCTTGACTATTACAGAGACCTCACAGAAGCACGATCATGCAATATTTGTCCCTCTGTGATGGGCTTGTTTCACTTCGAATAATCTCCTTCCATGTTGTCACAGATGGCAGGATTTCCCTCTTTTTAAGACTGAGTAATATCCCACTGTACGTATATGCCACGTTTATCTATTTATCTGTCAGTATCAAGTTAGATCTTGAAGAATAAATAGGAGCTTTCTAGCTGCATGTTGCTAGCTAGATGCATGAGCTGGCAAAAGTGGTGGAGTGTGGGGGACCCATTAGAGACAAGAAAATGTGGCCAGGCGTAGTGGCTCACGCCTGTAATCCCAGCACTTTGGGAGGCCAAGGCGGGTGGATCATGAGGTCAAGAGTTCGAGACCAGCCTGACCAACATGGAGAAACCCCATCTCTACTAAAAATACAGAAATTAGCTGGGCATGATGGCACGCGCCTGTAATCCCAGCTCGGGAGGCTGAGGCAGGCGGATCACCTGAGATCAGAAGTTCAAGACCAGCTGGCCAACATGTGAAACCCCATCTCTACTAAAAACACAAAAATTAGCTGGGTGTGGTGGCACATACCTGTAATCCCAGCTACTTGGGAGGCTGAGGCAGGAGAATCGCTTGAATCCGGGAGGCGGAGGTTGCAGTGAGCCGAGGTCATGCCACTGCACTCCAGCCTGGGCGACAAGAGCAAAACTCCATCTCAAAAAAAAAAAAAAAAAAGAAAAAAGTCATTAGCTGAAGTATAAGCTCATGTTAGCAGTGCTTTATCCTGACAGCAATGGCGGATGGACTTCGAAGTGGGGAAGGGGCCCTGAAGATAAAAATCCATTAGGAAGCTATTGTAATAGCCCAATGAGAGATGGCCCATCTATTGGGGCACATTTTTCTTTTACATTTGTACCATAGTAATTATGGACTTAGACTTGTTTTACATTGCCCACAAAACACACATACACACAGAAGATAATAAGTTGCTCAAAAGCAGGAAAACAAGTATCATTGCTTCACCATAGGGGACATTTATTATTTGTCTTCCCAGAATAGATCCCCTTTCTTTTATAGAAGGACTAATGTCCTATTGCAACTTTGTGGTATCCCAGGAACTATCACAATACTGAATGATCACATGACCCCATCCCAGCCAATTGGAGTTCTTCTCTTGGATTTTGTGCGCGCGCGCGCGCGCGTGTGTGTGTGTGTATGTGTGTTGCTGATGTGGGAACATGCTCTTTCCTCTCTGGTCAGGAGACTATAAAGATGTAAGCCTGGGCTACCTGTGGCCATGATTCCAGGCCCCTAGGGACTGCCAGCCTGAGAGAACAGAGTTAAGAGGGAAGGATTTGAATCCCCGGACCCAGCTGTCCAGAGGGCCTGCTTCTCTCTGGCTCTGAGTAGTTTTTGTTTTGTTTTGTTTTTTACATGAGTTACATATTTTCTACTGGTCTCTTTATTTTTTTAATTTTGCAATTTAGGGCATACACACAGACTGAGAATCTGTGGTATGTCCCTCTGCCTGTCTCTTAAGGTAGTTTTAATTAGGTCCTGTCACTTCTAGCAAAAGGCCCTGGCCTAATGTATGTACCCAGGATGGCATCCTCCCATCAGACCGAAGACAAAGACGCTGCTCAAAACACATCTGGAAAGAGAAGAGCACAGAAAAGTGGCCTGAAGAAAGAGATGTCCAAACCAAGCACAATTTGACAGGCCCCACCTGTTGCTGCCAGGCACCAGGCAGTTTTCCTTAGATCAGGTGGACCAGAGAACTGCCCCACACTTAGGGAGTGCCCCCTCTTCACATATGCTAGATGCTATCCTCACTTGCCATGGGAAAAGGCATTCTTATTCACAAACCCCACCATGACTAGGCCTGCCCAGAGGGTCCTCTTTTCTGTCTTTCCAAGTTTCAAAAATGCAAGAGAACTATGAAAGATAGTCAGCAAAGAATACTTTTCCAGCAAGGTACAGAGGAAGCACTTGAATACATTCAAGGAACTATGATCTCCTGGCTCCCACCACCAACCCACTTCTGGCTGAGCTAGCTCCGGTGTGCACCTCAACAGAGAAGCCTCCCTGATTACTGTTTTAAAGAACAAGCTGTTCCTACCCACATCCCCTGCTGGTACTCTCGTAGCCAACCTGGCATTATTTTCTCCACCTCTGATTATCACTGAATGTAGTATTCATATCTTAATTTTGTGTCCCCCAACCCAACCGGAATGTAAGCTCCTGGGGGCCAAGGACTCTCAATTCTGTTCACTGTTCTATTCCCAACACTTAAGACAGTACCTGCCACATGCTGTGTTTTCAATAAATATCTGTTTAATAAATGGAAGTGCAATGATCCAAGACTGGGAGCAAGTTAATAGCATTTTGTGATTGAGTGAGTAGGCTGAGGAGAGATCTGACTTCAGGTCTCCAGGAGCTTAAAATGAGCAAGAACTTGATATGCTCCATCTTCAGGTGGACTAAAAGAAGAAATGGGACCAATAGGACTCATAAGGCTTTTAGGTCCAAGCTAGTGGTAGAGTGTGGGGACAGCTACTGTTTTTGCCTACCTAACATGCACTCACCCTTCTGACAGCAACCCTTGATTTTCTTTGTGTCTACCCCAACCTAATTTTGGAGGTAAGCAGATGACCTAATTTAACCAATCAGCAGCAGCAGCAGACTCCACACCTTTACTCATAGTGATTGCTTTTTGTCTGGACACATGATCTAATTCAGGCAATAAGAATCAATCCCATGACTTTTGCCAAAGCAAAAGGGAAAAAGAAACTCCTTCCAGGGCCAGGCATGGTGGCTCACATCTGTAATCCCAGCACTCTGGGAGGCCAAGGCAGGAGGATTGCTTGAGTCCAGGAGCTTGAGACCAGCCTGGGCAACATGGTAAAAAAAAAACAACAAAAAAAACCCATCTCTACAAAAAATACAAAAAGTACCTGGGCATGGTGGCATGCACCTGTGGTCCCAGCTACTTGGGGGGCTGAGGTGGGAGGATTGCTTGAACTCAGGGGGTCGAAGCTGCAGTGAGCTGTGATCGTGCCACTGCACTCCAGCCTGGGTGACAGAGAAAGACCCTGTCTCAAAACAAACAAACAAAACCTCCCTCCACAGGGACACTGCTAGCAGGAAAGATGATGAAGCTTGGAGCTGCTGGAGTCATCACCTGAATCTGAGAATAAAGCTAACAGAGGAGAGCACCACAGACACGTCAAAGGACCAGCTTGAGTTACCTCCCTGGAAGTGACCATGTCTGCAGGTACTGGAAATTTCAATCATGTGAGCCAATAAATTCCCCTCTTCTGGGGAAACACATGGAAATGGGTTTCTGTCACAACTGAAATCATCCTGACCAATGGATTTAGGGCTCTGAAGAACAAAAAGGAAATACATCATTAGGGCTCTTAAATGCCTCAAAGGGAAGCCTAACGTCAGGCAGGGTGTCCCAGAAATGCAATCTAACACCTTTTGGTGAAACTCATTGCCTGTCTTTTTGGTGAGTAGGATGGGAGCTGCGGAGAAAAAGGCCATGCTACTTTTATTAAGTATTTGCAGTTACATTTTGCAAATGATTTCAGCAACTTTATCTCAGGTGTTTTAACATCTCAGCATCTCACAGTTGTAAGAAACAGAATCAATCTTCTACTCAGTGCAGAGGGGGAGAGAGCATGATATAGCAAAAAGAGCACTGAACCAGAGTCTAACAATCTGGCTTTTCATCTTTATCTGATCACTGATTAGAGTGTGGTCTCAGACAAATCACCTTGCTTTTATTGGTCTCATGACTACCTCGTCTTCAAGCACTCACCCAACTCTGCAATGGAAAATACACTAGGACAGAGGTTCTTAATTTTTTATGGGGCCTGGGCCCTAGGAAAACACACACTGCACACATGATTTTACGTTGCATGGGGTTCACAACTCTAGAAGCCAATCTACATCTCTAACTTCTCTGCTTTACAGTAACACCAGCTTCTGCTTGAGCGCTCCTCCAGTGGGAGGGAGCTCACTACTCACAAGGAAGCCCATTGTACTACTGAACTGTACTAGAAAAATAAGTTATTCTTCATATATATATATATTTTTTGAGATGGAGTCTCACTCTGTCCCCCAGGCTGGAGTGCAGTGGCGCAATCTCGGCTCACTGCAATCTCCGCCTCCCGGGTTCAAGCGATTCTCCTGCCTCAGCCTCCTAAGTAGCTGGGATTACAGGCACGCGCCACCACGCCTGGCTAATTTTTTGTATTTTTAGTAGAGACGGGGTTTCACCACATTGGTCAGGCTGGTCTCGAACTCCTGACCTCAGGTGATCCACCCACCTCAGCCTCCCAAAGTGCTGGGATTACAGGCGTGAGCCACCGCCCCTGGCGTTCTTCTTCATATCAAACCAAGTTCTATACACTGTAATTTCTACTCATTGGTCGAAGTTCTCAATGGCAAATCAGAAAAATTGTGTTCTCGCCTGTATATGACATCTCTTCCTCTCTCTCTCTGAAGACTGTTTCTAACTAAAAAATGTAGATGATTCGCCATGCAAATTATTTTACTGTACATTGTTACAAAGATAAGTTCTTCACCTCACCCCTAATATGCCAAATGTTCAAATGTAGATGCTGAAGTCCAAATAAGCACACTGCTATTAATCTGCATAGATCTAGGTGTTGCAAAGAGGAGAACTGCTGTATAACAATATCTTGAAAGAAACAGCATAGTATTTTGGGGAAAGCACTGCATTCAGAATCAGAAGACTTGGAGTAATACTCGGTCTCACATTCCAACTACCTGTGTATCCTTGGGCACGTCACTTAACTTCTCTCAGCCTGGTTCTCTTCTGCAAAATGCGACAGGAATACAGTGAGGATTAAGTGAAATAATGTTTGTAAGCTTCTAGGGCAAGGCTGGGACATAGCAAATTCTCAATAAATAAGTGCCAGCTCCCGCGCTCAGCAGGCTCCGAGTTTTATTCGATGCGCTCGGCGCTCTTGGTCGAGCGGGATTCCCCCTCCGGAGCCCGAGTCTGCGCTCTGGGCTCGACTGAGGCTCCCTGGCCGCTCGCGCTTTTCTCTCCTTCTCCAAGATGGCGGCGATCGGCGGCGTTGAGGCGGGATCCGGGCGAGCCGAGTGAAGGTAGCGGCGAGCGGAGACCCCAGGAGACCGGGCTGGGCCCCCACCCTGAGGCGGCAGCAGCCCCGCCCCGTCGCCACCCGCCGCCCTGGGCCCGCGACATCACCTCTGGGGTGCCCCAGGCCCTTCGCGGCCTAGCCCAGGGGCCGAGCCGGGGACTGGAGTAGCGGCCGCAGCCGCCCCCAGGAAGGGGCTGGAGCGGGCAGAAGGAGGAGGGCGGGCGGGAGCTGTTCAAACGGGGAAGGCGGGAAAGCTGCGGGGCCGGGAGGGGGCGTGCGGCCGCCCCGGGGGCCTGCGGACCCGGGCCGCCCCTCCCCCTGCCCGGGCCGTCTCCGCCCTCGGGGGCGCCGTGAGGCCGCCGGAGACGCGGGAACCCGGGTTCAGGTCGAGCTGTGCGGCTCGGAACCCGCGATGCGGGGGTCCCTCGGGCTGTCAGGGGGAAAGGGCTCGTGGCCGCGGCCACGGGAGGGCTGGGGCTGCGGCTGGCAGGAGAAAGTACGAGGAGCTTTCTTCTTTTCCTCTTCACAGAGCTTTGTTGAGCTAGCTGTTGCCGCAAAACTGCCGGGAGAATCCCACTGGTTTGCCTTGGGGACCACAAAAATGGTGGTCCTGGGGGCTGTTTGTGTAAATCACCTGGTATTTTGTGTGTTTCTTGCGTGCAACCCGGCTTGGCCGTGCCTTCGTGGTGGGCGCCTTCTCCATGCAGGCCCATTTTCCCTCCACCAACTACTACTTGTAGATTCACTTTATAGCGTGCAAAAGCGGAGAAACATCTCTGTCCCCTCTTTTGGAGGGCTAAGCTGGTGGCTGATTATATTTCCTCCTAATAGAACAAAGTAAAAAACTGAATCCCAAATAAAGCCTGTTGATTGGACAAGGCTTCTCAAAATTCGATTGCTGGTCTTATGGAATGTGTGTTGTCAGCCAATCTGTGCGGTGGTCGTGGTTCCGCTTAATTGCACTGCAATGAGAGGATTCAATCCCCATCCCCGACTGTCGGGATCTCTGCAGCTTCCAGAGCTGGCAGGGGCTGGGAGTGCTGCCTAGGTAGGTCCCTGGAGAAGGGAGTGGCAAGAGGATTCGGAGTCACCGTGTTCGGAGATTGGAAGAAACCTGGACGAAGTTGAGAAGGCATCACTTGTCTGTATCGTAGAAGTAACAAGAAAATTTCAGAAATTGGCAACCGGCGGATGTGCATCTTCCTTTACCTGCACTGACTGGCATTTTGAGTTCTTGAAAGGAGTGGTTGGAAGAAGAGAATGCAGAATCTTGGACATGGCTCTCATCCTGGAACAGACCTGGAGTTCAGAATTTCTCTTACTGTCCGTGTGACGGGGCTTACTTTGTTTCCTTTTTTTCGATACTCATTTACATTATGGGGTGAAGAAGGTTGTTGATTGCAGGAGCTCAAGTTACCTCAAAAAAAGTCTGAAACCTGTTTTTTAACTGTAATTTGAAGTTTCAAAATGACAAAGTGCTATATCTGAGGACTTTTTCCTCCTGATTACTTTGGTCATCCCAAAGGCCTATGCCTGAACATAACTTGTATGCTTATCTACCAGGGAAAGAGCAACTCTGCCCCCTCCTTTTTCATATCCTGAAGAAAAGTCCCCGAAGAGCTATTTAACAATTTGTGCATTTCATAAGTATACATTTTTATGGTACCAGTTTTTTACTTGTATCAACAGTATGAAATAGTGAACTTTTACTTATGTTGTCATATCTTAGCACACTGAGACAAACAAAATTATTCTTGCCTCTTGGAGTTGACAACATTGAATTTTATAAACTCCCAAATTATTGAATTGAGACTGGGTTTTAACACCTGTTTCACATTTGCCAACATTTAATGTAATTATGACCTCCCTTTTCTAATGTGAAAATCAAACCTAATATTCATTTTCATTAATCCTCACAATCTACTCTCTACCCCTGAACTCTGAATTTTCACAGATTGTATTCAAGACCTGGAAGGAATATCAGGGGTTCATCTGATCTTATATAAATGTTGCCTGAACTCTGCCTTTCTTTCACACTGTTGCTTGAGATTTATCTGGTATCTTTCCAAAACTAAACCCTGAGCTGCAATAATATCCTGATTTTAAAGAACGTAGAAATTCAGGGCCCATCGGTCTGCCCAAGCTGTGGCTGATACAGTCCGTTGTGTTTAATTTTAGTTTTTCAAGCTCTTGGCTGCCCCAGTTCTTCAGTGAATTGGACGTGTCTTCAGGCCTCATTCCTTCTTTTTTCTTCAGGTTATTTAATCCAGTAATTTATAAAATGCTCTTCAGTGTTTTTAAGAAAATTTAAACAGTGGTAGACCTAATATATGTAATGCCAACACCACATTTTCTTGGTTGGCCTGTGCCTCTGAGAAGCAGTTCCTAATTTTCTATTCCCTCTCACAACTTTTTAATCCACTAGTTTTTTAAAGCAGCCAGTAACGAGACCACGATACAGTCATCTTTCTTTCTTTCTGTCTTCAGAGGTACTTATTTCTATTCTGTTAGGTTGCCCAACTCTGTTTTATGTTGATTTTGATGTTACCAAAGGGAAGGCCTGTTATAAGTCTCAGGACCAGCCTTTGCTTACATATACAAGTGCATTTTGTTGTTGACAAAACACTGATGACTGTATTTATGACATTGAATATTTAAGTTTTTTGCCATTATTTCTGAAATATTCTTTGCCAAAATTCATGCACAGAAAGTGTTTAATTTGAGGTCTCCATTGGTTCTTGGCATTATCAGCCTATGAAAATCTATATAATCTATATATTTTTCTTATAAACTCAGTATTTTAGTGCCATTGAGAGGATATGCTGTTTTCAAATAAATTGATATAATTCCCTGTATTTCCCTTCTACCTGCACCCCTTTTGGAGTCAGCACCACTTGGGTGGAAAGGGGAGGACAGTAGTTTCCGCTGAGAAAGTGTCATCCTTAAATGCTGGAACATGGAAAACTGGCTACATTATGTATCTTGCCTCCTCACATTTTTATCTGAGGCCTGACCTTATGTCCCCTTCGTTTCCTATGAAAAGGCCCTTCGAACAGGCAGTTCTCCAATTGAACTTTAAAACAATCCAGTTAATATAGTTTCATTACTCTAGCTTCTCTTACTTTGACCAAATCCATTCTTTATTTCACTTCTCAGAGAAGTGAAGAAATGCTTTTTTATGTTTCTTTTCTTAATCTAATAAATCATTCTTGGTAATGCTTCATTTTCCCATTTAGGCCTACCTGTATGTACATTGTATTTTATCTGATTGTGCAAATAAGTCTTTTTAATGTAACTCTTATGAAAGTCTCCCTTGTTAATCAAATTCATCTTTTCTTTCACAAAAGTTCCATGCTTCAGTATTGTCCACAGCTACCTGAAGGAATTAGTAATGTGTCATTTAAGTGTCCTTCAGTATTTCTAAATACCCTTATAATAATGAAGGTAAAATTAAATTTAAATAAATGATCAATTAGATTAACTTTGTAAGCATCTGACTTAATTGGATGAGAACATTTCCAAAATATTTAATATGTAATTTTAAAATTCCTGAAGGACTTATGAAATTGCTTGTTCTTAAAACATTTAAAGAACTTTACCTTGGCTGGGCGCGGTGGCTCACGCCTGTAATCCCAGCACTTTGGGAGGCCGAGGTGGGTGGATCACGAGGTCAAGAGTTCAAGACCAGCCTGGCCAAGATAGTGAAAACCCATCTCTACTAAAAATACAAAAATTAGCCAGGCTCGGTGGCAGGCGCCTGTAATCTCAGCTACTCGGGAGGCTGAGGCAGGAGAATCGCTTGAACCCGGGAGGCGGAGGTTGCAGTGAACCAATATCGTGCCACTGCACTCCAGCCTGGGCAACAGAGCAAGACTCTATCTCAAAAAAAAAAAAAAAAATCCTTTTACCTTACAGTGCATTTTATAGCATTGTCATCTTCAAAGTCAAAATGGACATATAAACTCAAATGCCAAAAAAGGTTGTAAAAATTCAATAAAAAATACAATATCTAGAACATTTAAATTATAGCAATTCTTATTAGTGAAGGTCTTAATAATCATAAAAGTTTTATGACCAGTGGACAAATGATAAATGTCTCCCTATTTTCACCTAGCCTTTAAGAAAGCCTTGGTGGTGGTGACAGCTGTCATATGGTCAACTGATGTAAGGAGTGTACCTGCTTTTACAGTTACATAAATTTGAACAAATTCATGTCGCCCCCCCCAAAAAATGCAAAAGACATTGTGCTCTAAAGATATTTAACATCCCTATACAGTTAATCATTTCTGTTTAAATTACAATGCAATAGATTTTACCGCTTCACCAATCCAGTTGGTAGGATTTTGTGGTCTTCAAATGTTTGATGTGATCTGTCTTCTCTGCATCTTGCTTTACTTGTGTATGTTGTAACCATGATTGAACCTATCCCTCTAACTTAATGTTGGTTTCTACCCTGTCTCAGTGTTGTCAGTCCTGTTGGCATTTTAGAAATTCTCATTAATTTTGAAAATATTTTTTGTATTGGAGGTATTTTATATACTTCCCCAAATGACAACTTTAATTCATGACTGAAATCTAATTAAGCCTAGTATACTTCCTGCAGTATCAACCCCACTGTATTTACAAAGAGAATGAGGAGGTGACAAGACACTTTTTATTTCTTGCTGCCCTTCCAGTCAGCCCTTGGATCACTGCGCATTTCCATCTGGAAGGTTGCTTCTCCTCAGTGATTTCGCATTACAGGAGGGTTTTCCTTCTTTGTTTCTCAGACCTGGTCCTGTAGACGGGAAGGAGCCTGGACACAGTGACACATTCTCAAAGGCCCTGCAGGACCACCATGGCTTATGATGACTCCGTGAAGAAAGAAGGTATGACCCCATAATCTGAGAAGCATTCCAAAGGGGGTATCCTCTTCAATCCTTGCAGCCCATGGATATAGAGACCAGGACTGGGCACCACAGCCTGGACTCCCAAGTGATGGTCCAGAGCACTGTTATGACACTCAGCCTCCACGCCATCCCCAGACTGGGCCCATGGAAACGAAAACCAGGACAGGGGTTCCAACACGAGAGTCTGAAATATGAGTCTCTTAGTTTATTGGGGTGATCCCCTGCAGCACTCTTGGTCCTTGCCAGCTCCAGTGTGCAGGAGTCTGGGGATAGGAATCACATCCTGGACTCCCACAGAGAGCAGCACAGCACATGAATCCTTATTCTTTTCAGCCTTTCGTCTGCAAGTCTGTGTCCTCCTACCAAATCACAACTCAGAAACCATATCTGAGGTTGCACATGGGGCCTTTGCATAGCATGGAAACATTGTTTCTTCAGGTTTGATTCTTGTATTTGCAGCTAGGTCATCAAGAAATATTCTGTTCCCCTGGGTCTAGCCCTGTATTTCAGTGGACTTGATTGAAACATTGTTTTAATTTGGAAATAGAGGAACTGTTGCATTACCTGCATGACGATTTGGTCATTACTTACTTGACTTTCTCATTTCCTTTCCCAAATAAACCTGTGCTTCTCAGATTGTTTTGATGGTGATCATACCTTTGAGGACATAGGACTTGCAGCTGGCCGAAGCCAACGAGAGAAAAAACGTTCTTACAAAGATTTTTTAAGGGAAGAGGAAGAAATTGCTGCTCAGGTCAGGAATTCTTCCAAGAAGAAGTTGAAGGTAAGTCCTGAAAATTTAAATTAGGAAAGTCTTAAACTACTCATTTTTTTTTGGTGATGCAGAGTTTTTTTTTGTTTTTTTTTTTTTTCTCTCATGGCCCAGGCTTGAATGCAATGGCACAATCTCTGCTCACTGCAACCTTCGACTCCCAGGTTCAAGCGTTTCTCTTGCCTCAGCCTCCCGAGTAGCTGGAATTACAGGCGCGGGCCACCACGCCTGGCCAATTTTTGTATTTTATCAGAGACAGGGTTTCACCATGTTGGCCAGGCAGGTCTCAAACTCCTGACCTCAAATGATTCACCTGCCTCCGCCTCCCAAAGTGCTGGGATTACAGGCCTGGGCCACTGCGCCAGGAAAGTCTTAAACTACTTCTTACCATATTTCCTAATATTTGAAGAAGGAAGTATTTTTTAATAACTTGAGAAAAGAAAAATAAAACGTTATGCACATCTATTTTTATTATTTCTTGTGCTTTGTTTCCCAAAATCAAAAATCATCAAAGACAAGAGTGGTTACAAACTGCATTTGCCTCATCATCTTATTATTGGTCAATTCTTCTTTAATTATAGGATAGTGAACTTTACTTCTTGGGGACGGACACACACAAGAAGAAGAGGAAGCACTCCTCTGATGATTACTACTATGGAGGTGAGGATGGGAATGGGCAACAGGTGGGATAAACACATCGCTGGTTCTTGGAGTCGGGGTAGGGGAAAGGGATCCAGATGTTGCTGACTCAGTGGCCTATTTAACAGGACAGTGGTTCTTGTTCTGAGTGCCGATAAACCAGTGTGAAGGAGGAGAGAGGTGGAGGGCTGGTATTTTGGAGGATTCAGCATAGAAGAACAGTCTGCATTTGTGATACACCAGGTACCAGGTTCCTTCTCCCCCCAATCATCCACTTATCTTGTGCCCATTGTTATCTAGCATCCCTTTTGCCATACGTAGTCCTCTGGCCTGCACCTGTGGGTCACTTCTCAACCAGTATATATCCACTCACAGAACCAGTTTTCTTAGCTATGTTATGCACATAGCTGATGAGACTCAACTTTCACCAGAATGGGTTTGTCCTGAACACAGAAACAAATGATACTCTGTCTGCAATCTGAATTGTTAACTTCCCATAATCCCACAGCTATAGTCAGTTCTTCTGGGTATGTGCTCTTTGGTTGCTTCTGAAGACTCAATGAAGAGAAACAACTTTAGTGGCAAGAACTGTGTCCAGGGTCAGAGGCAGACTCTACCAAGCCAAGAAGCACAAGGGCATCATTTCTCAATGTTAGGAATCAGTTAAAGGGTCTCCCTTCAAATCATTCCTGTTAGCCTCTTTCTCATGTTAGCTAGGTGCTTTTGATGAGAGAGGAAACTTGTTAGAAGTTGCTTCCCATCATATTGACAGTACTTCTCTTGATTATTTCTAGATATTTCGTCTTTGGAATCGTCACAGAAGAAAAAGAAAAAGTCCAGCCCACAGTCTACTGATACAGCTATGGACCTGTTGAAAGCTATCACTTCCCCACTGGCAGCAGGCTCCAAGCCCTCCAAAAAGACTGGGGAGAAATCCTCTGGCTCTTCAAGCCATTCGGAGAGTAAAAAGGAGCACCACAGGAAGAAAGTCAGTGGAAGCAGTGGGGAACTACCCCTAGAGGATGGTGGCTCCCACAAATCGAAAAAAATGAAACCTCTCTATGTGAACACAGAGACACTGACCCTTCGGGAGCCTGATGGTTTAAAAATGAAACTTATTCTGTCACCAAAGGAGAAGGGAAGCAGCTCTGTTGATGAGGAGTCTTTTCAATATCCCTCCCAACAAGCGACTGTGAAAAAATCCTCAAAGAAATCAGCTCGGGATGAGCAGGGTGCTTTACTCCTAGGACATGAGTTACAGAGCTTTCTGAAAACAGCCCGGAAAAAGCACAAGTCATCCTCAGACGCACATTCATCTCCTGGCCCTGAAGGCTGTGGGTCTGACGCCTCCCAGTTCGCAGAGTCCCACAGTGCTAACCTTGATCTTTCAGGGCTTGAACCTATTCTGGTAGAATCAGACTCATCCTCTGGTGGGGAACTAGAGGCTGGGGAGTTAGTGATAGATGATTCTTACCGAGAAATCAAGAAGAAAAAGAAGTCAAAGAAGAGCAAAAAGAAGAAAGACAAGGAGAAGCATAAAGAGAAGCGACACTCCAAGTCCAAGAGAAGTTTAGGACTTTCTGCCGTGCCAGTGGGAGAGGTCACAGTGACATCTGGCCCTCCTCCCAGCATCCCATACGCTGGAGCAGCAGCACCTCCCCTGCCACTTCCTGGCCTCCACACAGATGGGCATAGTGAAAAAAAAAAGAAAAAAGAAGAGAAGGACAAAGAGAGAGAGAGAGGAGAAAAGGTAAAGCATCTTTTAAGTGTGGTGGGGGTAAGAGATTAAGCAGGTTCTTCCTGGGTAGTCAGTGGACTTTTAAGTTAAGCAGTTGAGGTAAACCACTGGGAATTAAGCATGTTTGGGGGATATGTTGGAATGATATAAAGTATAAAATATTACCAGTAGCCCAGTCTGTCTGATATAGAAGCAATCTTTTTTTTTTTTTTTGAGATGGAGTCTCGCTCTGTCGCCCAGGCTGGAGTGCAGTGGTGCAGTCTGGGCTCACTGCAACCTCCTCCTCCCAGGTTCAAGCCTCACCCTCCCAAGTAGCTGAAATTACAGGCACCCGCCACCACACCCGACTAATTTTTTTTTTTTTTTTTTGTATTTTTAATAGAGACGAGGTTTCACCATGTTGGCCAGGCTGGTCTCAAACTCCTGACCTCAAGTGATCCACCCACCTCAGCCTCCCAAAGTGCTAGGATTACAGGCATGAGCCACCATGCCCGGCCTAGGGTTTCTTAATAGAGTTATTCTCCCATTGTGCCAGGAATAGGTTTAGTTACACTGTGGCTTTTTCCAGCTAGTTCTTAGAATTCACAGAAGGAGCTAAACCCAATTTCTTTCACTTAGCATCACTGTCTGCTTAGGGCAGTTGGGAGATGTCAAAAGGTGTTCTTTGAGTTCATTTTTAAAAACAGACTATCAAAATTGGTAGAACAATGAGCAGTCAAGTTAACAGAATAGCTAATGACTTTCCACCAGCTGGTGTTGGCTACTTTCTGGTATTCTTTTTAGTGTCGAATATATGTTCTTTTACTGTCTGAGTGCTTGCTGTATGCCAAGCTCAATGCTGTAGATAGTACCAGGAAGTAAAAACACAAGCAGGACATAGTTGTTGACTTTAGGGAGCTCACTGTTGATTAGGGAGATAGGAATGATAAATCAGTCACCTTGGTTTGATTTCTTTCCTCATAACAGTTTCTGGCAGTGAACTTTAGGGTCTCATAACTATGTCATTAAAAGTTTCTTTTTTTATTTATAGTTCTGCAAAATGCAATGTCAGATAAAATCTGGAAGAAAAGCGACTAAGAACGAGAAAATCAAATGTATTAAGAATCTGGGGCTGGGTGTGGTGGCTCATGCCTGTAATCCCAGCACTTTGGGAGGCTGAGGCAGGTGGATCCCTTGAGCCCAAGAGTTCGGGACCGGCCTGGGCAACATAGCGAAACCCAGTCTCTACAAAAAAATACAAAAATTTGCCTGGTGTGGGGGTGCACATCTATAGTCCCAGCTACTCAGGAGATTGAGGTGAGAGGATTGCTTAAGCCCAAGAGGTGGAGGCTACAGTGAGCTATAATCTTGCCACTGCAACTTCAGCCTGGACAGCAGAGTGAGGCTCCCTGTCTCAAAAGAAAAAAGAAAAGAATCTAGGAATGGGAATTTAGTTTGATCTCTGAGGTGGAAGTTATTTCTCCACTATAAAGGGTGCCTTTTAAGAAAGTCTGCTTATATCTATCTGTTTATATCTATCTGTAGATCTATATCTGTTTATCAGTATGTGTGTGTGTATATATAATATATATAAAATAATATATTATATATATATACACACACACATCTGTTTATCTCAAAAAAACCACAAAGCTGTACCTCTGAGCCAGGAATCAGTGTGAACATAAAGACCTGGATATTCCAATACTAAGTCAGGTTTTATTCAGTTGTTTATTTGGAAAATTGCTTTATGAAATAAACACTATGTGTTCTTTATAAGATTCTGTTTATCCTAAGAATTTCCAGTCTAGTGACGTGATAATGCCATGGACTAATCATCCAGTGCTGAATGTCGGAGCACAGGGTCAGGGAAAGCTTGAAGAAGGAGAAGGTTTCAGTGGAAGTGGACGCATGGAGGCAGAGAGATGTTCAGGAAGCAGCAGAGTAAAATAACTATAACTGAACTCTACTTGTGCAATTCCAGCTGCCTGCTAAATATTTCTACTTGAATGCCTTGGGTACCTCAAACCCTTATGTCACTAATTGACATGACCTAGCTACACCTTCTGTATTCCCAGTATCCCGCCAGTCAACCCAAACTCAAAACTGAATGCTTATCGCTTTTCTCAACATTTTATTATGAAATTTTTCAGACAAAAAGGATTGAAAGAATTCTGTAATGAAAACTGTATCTCCTCCACCAGGAGTTTACAGTTAATATTTTCTTTTTGCTTTATCATATACCTGCCCATCCTTTCATCCACCAGTCCATGTTATCTTTCTTAATGTATCTCAAAGTAAATTGCAGGTATCATACATTTCACCCCTAAACACTTCAGTTTGCATATCATTAACCTGAGTTCAATATTTGTTTTCAGGAATTTGTAAATATGAAATTTACATATAGGGAGGCTGAGGCAGGAGAATCGCTTGAGCCCAGGAGGCAGGTGCTGCAGTGAGCCAAGATCACGCCACTGCAGTCCAGCCTGCGCGACAGCGTGAGACTCAGTCTCAAAACCATAAAGATAAAATTTACATAGGGTGAAATGCATAGATATTGAGTATGTGATGAGTTTTGATAGATGCACACACCTGTGTGATCAAACCTCTATCAAGATACAGACATTACCATCATCCCAGAGAGCTCTCTTGTACCCCTCTCCAATCCATCCCCAACCCCAGAGCCAACAACTGTTCTGATTTTTTCCAGTCTTATCGTTCACTTTTACATTTCCCCCTTCCCTACTCCCCTCCAACTATTTCTGCACAAATATTAAGCTTGATAGTCTTCCTCCTTAATATCTTTCAAGCCTTTAGCTCCTCCATTACCATTGCCACTGTCTTAGGCCTCATTCCCTTCTACACTTACTGTAATAAGTAGCTTTTTTTTTTATTCTACCGTGCAGTTAATCTCACACATTGATGCTAGAGTAATCTTAATCTTAAGTAGCACCTTGATGACGGCAGTCCTGTGTTCTGCATCTTCAGTGGATTCTTACTGCTTTTTTGGTAGACTCTAAGCTCCAAGAGGACCAGGACCACGTCTGTCTTGCTATCCCTAGTGTATAACCTGCCATCTGGCCTATTGTAGACAGTCAGTAAATACTTGTCAAAGGAATAAATATCAGGTAAGTTGAAACCTTAGCCAAACATTCATTAAGTGTCTGGATTTAGCCTAATCCTCCCTTTTCAGCTTTACCTCTTATTAGTCTATTAAACATACACTGTATGGAAATCAGACTTGTTTCCCATACATTCTTACCTCTATTCCTTTGCTCATTTTTTACAGTGACCTTCCTCTTCTTACATATTGAAGCTCTGCCCTCTTTGCAAGACCTAATCAAATGCCACCTCTTCTAAGACATTCTGTACACCCCTCATTAGAATTAACGTCTAAACTCCCATATTACCTTGCTGTCTTACTGCACTTATTTTCTTCCTTATATTGGCATTATCTTTGTACATATTCTGTTTCCCTTATTAAAGACTATAAGGGAAGACTGATGCTTAGAATTCATAGAAGGAGCTGGGTGCAGTGGCTCACACCTGTAATCCCAGCAGTTTGGGAAGCAGAGGCAGGTAGATCACTTGAGGTCAGGAGTTGGAGACCAGCCTGGCCAACATGGTGAAACCCCCATTTCTACTAAAAATACAAAAATTATCTGGGTGTGGTGGCATGCGCCTGTAATCTCAGCTGCTCTGGAGGCAGAGGCAGGAGAATTGCTTGAACTTGGGAGGCAGAGGCTGCAGTGAGCCGAGATTGTGCCACTGTACTCCAGCCTGGGTGACAGTGTGAGACTGTCTCAAAACAAACAAACAAAATAGAATTCATAGAAGGGGCTACACCCAATTTCTTTAACTTAGCAGCACTGTCTGCTTGGGGCAGAATGTAAGCTCCTTTACCACCTTATAGTATCTTCAACTCTTCAATGTCCTTAATAAGCACTTTGTAAGTATATGTCGAATGAATATGTGGATGAAAACATAGTACTGAAAAGGTAGGTTGGGAGCAAATTGTAGAGAATCTTAAATGCCAAAGTAAAGGACTTGGCAGCAGGCAGTTTGGGGTTTATAAGCAAGGTTTATTTATGATCTAAATGATAAGAATAAAATGATAGAGTTGTACAAGGTGGATTAGAGTAGGGAGAGACGAATAACCAAGGGAGTTACTATAGTCCAGAAGGTTAGTAATGAAAATCTAAGAGACAGGAGGATCGCTTGAGTCCAAGAGTTCAAGGCTGGCCTGGGCAATCTAGCAAGATCCAGGTGTGGTGACGCATGACTGGAGTCCCAGCTACTCCTGAGGCTGAAGTGGGAGGATCAGTTGAACCCAGGAGTTCAAAGCTTCTGTGAGTTGTGATTGTGCCACTGCACTCTAACCTGGTTGACAGAGCAAGACCCTGTCTCTTTTAAAGAGAAGAAGAAAAAAAAAAGGCTTGAGAGAAATAAAATTGAAGAGGTTGATTCAAGAGAGGCTCTGAAGGAAAAATTGACAAGATCTACCTACAGCAGGGGTCCCCAGTCCCCAGACCACAGACCAGTAGCCGTCCGCGGCCTGTGGGGAACCAGCCACATAGCAGGAGTTGAGTGGCGGGCAAGCCATTGAAGCTTCATCTCTATTTACAGCCACTCCCTGTCGCTCACATTACTGCCTGAGCTCCACCTCCTGTCAGATTAGCAGCGGCATTAGATTCTCATAGGAGCACAAACCCCAGCAGGTTCCTTATGAGAATCTAATGCCCGATGATCTGTCACTGTCTCCCATCACCCCCAGATGGGACCATCTAGTTGGAAGAAAATAAGCTCAGGGCTCCCACTGATTCTACATGATGGTGAGTTGTATAATTATTTCATTATATGTTACAATGTAATACTAATAGAAATAAAAGGCATAATGTAATGAATGCACTTGAATTATCCCGAACTCTGCCCCTACCCCTGCCCCAGGTCCATGGAAAAATTGTTTTCCACGAAACCGGTACCCGGTGCCAAAAAGGTTGAGGACCGCTGACCTAGTGGGCTTGTATCTGGGAAGCCAGAAACATAAATGAGTCTAAGAAATATCTCTTCAGCTTTGAACCTAGATAACGTTGGAAAAATAGTAAGCTCTTCAAAGTTAAGGACTTATCTATAATTTGCCCATGTGGCTAGCAGTTGCTAGTGAAAAATGAATTTTAATTTATAGCAAAAACCTTATTAAGAGTTAATATCTTTGATTGTGGCTGTCCAAAAAATCTGAAGTAGTCATAATCTGAATTTAATCATTTATTTCTCCAACAAATATTTATAGTGTATATACTGTGGTTTTTAAACCTGATTTGTGCATAAAAAATTCCTATAAAGCTTTTTAAAAATATATTTTCCTGGGTTTTGTTTCACTGTAAAAAAGAACTGTATAAAAGTCAGGGACAGGCAGGCGCAATGGCATGCACCTGTAATCCCAGCTACTTGGGAGGCTGAGGTGGGATCACTCAAGCCCAAGAGTTTGAGACCAACCTAGGTGATACAGCAAGACTCTACCTCTTAATTTTTTTTTTTTTAATTAGCCAGGCATGGTGGCAAGCACCTGAGTTTCAGCTACTTAGGAGGGTGAGGCAGGAGTATTGCTTGAACCCAGGAGTTCACAACCAGCTGGGCAATATGACAAGACCCTGTCTCAAAAAAAATAAATAAAAAGTCAGGGACAAAGTCCACCCAGAGATAGAAAAGAATGATTTAGGAGTAGTGTTTCTTCAACCTACAGTGAGCAGAGACTGGAGAAACTACTGGTAGAAATGCCAAAGGCCTCTGTGCACCCCTTCTACCTTAGATTCTAGGACCAGGACTCTAATAAAAATAGAGAAGGTGAGAAGAATAGCTGGTTTGGGAGAAGAAGATAAGTTAATTGAGATCGGGAGATTCAACATAGCTAAGTCGTTGAGAGCGTGGGCTGTGGAACCCACCTGAGTTCAATTCCTGGCTCTATTCACCCACTTACAAACAATGTGATGTTGGATAAGTTACAGAACAACTCCATCTCTAAGTTGAGGATAACAGACTTGCTTCCTAGGGTTGTGAGGATTAAATGAGGCAATACATGCGGAAGTGTTCAGGGCCTCGGTGTGCCAAGGCGCTCTGGGACGCCACATCAGACTCACCAGGACAACGCTTGATATTTTAAATACATTTTGAGACAAACAACAATACTTGACATCTCTCAGATACCTTACGAACTACTAGTTCAAAGTAATTCCCAGTTTCAACAATGTATGTTACATTCTTTTCAGTAGTGCCATATCTTTTCAAAGCCAAGTGTGTGTGCTCTAGAGGTAAAAAGCAACTACCACATTGAAAACCCACATAAGCACTGTGAACCAAGAACATTGGAGAACTTTGTCTTTGCACAATGCTCAGCACATTAGTGAGCATTCAATAAATATTATAATCATCTCAGTGGCAATGGAAGTTCAAGACCCAGAATTTGGCTGGAACTTGGGTGAGAAATTGGGTGTTCATGTGTGATAAATGAAATAGGTAAATGGATAAGAGGAAATTGAGCTCAGAGCAGAATTTTGTAGAACACTTATACAGGGGCATTTATATAAGAGAAGGAAGAGGGGGCGGCTATGTTGGAGGAGAAACACAGAAGGGAGGAGAAAAACAGTTTCAAGAGTAGAACAATCTCATGCTAGAGAGGCCAAGGAGTTCAAGTGCAGTAGGTAGGAATGGAGCTGGATCAGGGGTTGAGGAAAGAGTGAGCGGTGTGGAAGTGAACGCAGCAGCGGTGGGCTCTTACTTGAGAATTTTGACTGACACAAAGAAGGGAAATTACACTATTTCCTGGGTGAAAAGTAGCCTTTCAGTTGTTTTGGAGGTGGTTTTTGTTTGGTTGGTTGGTTGGTTTTACTGGTTTTGAGTCCTGCATTCTAAGGAAGAGTAGAGAAATTATATGGTAATATCTTGATGATTTCCCACTAAAGATCATCTCATTGCAGTGGAAGCTTTTCATTTATATAGGAGGAGCAGGATACAGTTACATTTTAAATATACCTTACTTTTGGTTTTACCCCAAATAAAAGCCCATTTTTTTGTCACTTAAAATAATAGCCAGGCGTGGTGGCTCACACCTGTAATCCAGCACTTTGGGAGGCCAAGGTGGGTGGATCATGAGGTCAGGAGTTCAAGACTAGCCTGACCAACTTGGTGAAACCCCATCTCTACTAAAAGTACAAAAATTAGCCAGGCGTGGTGGCGCGTGCCTGTAATCCCAGCTACTCAGGAGGCTGAGGCAGGAGAATCGCTTGAACCCGGGAGGCGGAGGTTGCAGTGAGCCAAGATCACGCCACTGCCCTCCAGCCTGGGCAACAGCGAGACTGTGTCTCAAGAAAATAAATAAATAATATCCCGTAATGTTGCCATTTCAGAGACATGCCTTTAGTTATCTGTGTGTTTCCAAAATATGCACATTTTCTCTAAACCTAAGGCAGGGCCAGGTAGCCTAATGCCTGGCACACCCAGACATTGTTGATCTAATAAACAAAAGTCTGAAACATAACTAGACTTGTGATGCTGTTACATTAGTTCTCTCTCTGGCAAACCTGAGGCTAAGTAACAGCAACAATAAATGGTAGAAATTAGTCACTACCATCTATTGAGTGCCAGGCTCTCCTAGGCATTTTCCGAATGTTACCACTCTTGATTAATAATTATCATTAGCCCCACTGACGGAGGAAGAAGCTATAATCTTTCCACTATGCCACATGCCTTTCCACAACTTTAAGACATGGTTACTCCGTGCCATGATAGATCTTTGACTCAAATTCAGCAGACTTGGATTCTTACTCTGGTCTGCCACTTACTAGGTCTGTTCTCCTGAGATTGCTTTCTCACTTCTGCTCATTTGTAAATTGGGGTTAGATTAAATTAGGTGGTGCATGTAACATGCTTAGCACAGGGCATGGCTTAGTAAATGTCAGCTGTTACAGTTACTTTCGCTTACGTCTTAAGTTCTTCAAAAGCACAAAATATATTTGAAAACATCTTTTTAAAATTTTGTTTTCAGCCACTCATTTCACATATTAGACTAAGCAAGGAGACTATGTTTTATGCATATAATACCCTACCTTAATATAACCTCCCACCTTTAGGAACCAAATCTGTGATTACATCACATATTTGGAAAATAGTTAAGAACCAGAAAGAAAACAGGGCCTCTAAGGAGCAAAAGCAGATGTTATAAAACCTACAGCTCATTGGAGAGCTTCATCGTCACTAAAAGAAGGACCAGTGAGATGAGTCCTGTGACCTCTCTGCCTCTGTTCCTTTATGCTTAAAATGGGGAATTAGCACCCAGCCTACTTCACTTACAAGGATGTTGTGGAAATCAGATGAGGTGCCACACATGAATACACACTTGGCCTCTTCATGCGCAGTTCTGAGACTTTGCTATTCAATAGTACATATTTACTCTGCTCTTAAATCCTCCCAGGCAGTAAGGACACAAAGATGAAGATACAGTGTCTGCTCTCAAAGAGCTTTCAGTCTAGTAAAAGGTTGGAAAGGACTTGGTGTGTTGAACTTCAGCAGAGGCATGGGCGCGGAGTACTGAGAGAGTGCAAGGAAAGCCCGGAATGGCTGGCTTCCTGTGAGAGCTGTCATATGAACCAAATCTTAAGGCCAAGTAGGAATTATCAGGTGGAAAATAGGAGTAGGCACCTCAGTCATGGAATGGAAAATATCTGTGAAGTCCCTGAGACGCCAGAGGGCACAGGATGTTCAGAGAAACCCAGGAAGTTGATATGACTGAAGCAAAGTCAGCGAAAGGTATGTAGAAGGCAGGAAGAATTGCTGCCAGGCTGGCCTTCTAGGAAGGGGCAGGAGAACTGAGTAGGAATTGGCAAAGCACAATCCTAACAGCTGTACATGTAGAGTTCCTCGTATGTTCTAGGCACTACACTAGTTTTTTATCTACTATGTATCACTGAATTTTCACAAGAACCCAATGAGGTGTAGGTGTTGTCATCTCAGTTTCACAGAAATAAGCTTAAATAAACGAAATAGCATGCCCCGGGACATACCTGTTCATGGCGGAACAGGAATTAGAACCCAGGTTTTTCTGACTACAAGAGCCACGCTCATTTCAATATACAGAAAGTGGTTAAATTATATTCATTGATGTGGTGTGACAGATAGCAGAAGTATAGAGTACATGTAGAAAGATTTTCATTCAAGGTAGTTAAAATAAAAACTTTGGTGTAGAAACCTTACTTATCTGCTGGTTTTCCTTTTAGCCAGATCAGATTTGGGGATCTCAGTCAAGTTAGTTCAGAAGAGCATCAGGTGGTAAAATGGTTACAAGTCCAGGCTCCAAAGCCAGGCTGCCTGTGTTTAGTGGCCCTGCCACTCCGTGGAGCTGTGAGTCTGGATGTCAGTTTCTTCATTTTTACACTGGCAGGAATGATGGAACTTACTTCATAGGGTTGTTATGAGGTTTAAGGGAATTTCTATGGGTAAAGGTCTTACAACAGTGGCTCGTACGTAGTATTAACATCACCAAATTTCTTTTTTTTTTTTTTTTTTTTTTTTTTGAGACGGATTTTCGCTCTTGTCGCCCAGGCTGTAGTACAATGGTGCGATCTCAGCTCACTACAACCTCTGCCTCCCGGGTTTAAGTGATTCTCCTGCCTCACCCTCCCAGGTAGCTGGAATTACAGGTGCCCACCACCACACCCAGCTAATTTTTGTCTTTTTAGTGGAAACAGGGTTTCACCACCTTGGCCAGGCTGGTCTTGAACCCCTAACCTCAGGTGATCCACCTGCCTCGGCCTCCCAAAGTGCTGGGATTACAGGCATGAGCTACCATGCCCAGCCACCAAATTTCATTTTTTAGAATCATAAGCAGTATTGTGCTTTAACTCCCAAATATTGTATTCTTTAAAACAGGGTCTTAAACTAGAGTTATGAGATTTTCATCAGGTTCTTACAGTTCTATGACCCAAAAAAGTTAAGCAGGACACTTTATAAAGAGCATTAACAAGTTGCATTTTGGGCCAGGAGCAGTGGCACACACCTGTAATCCCAGAGTTTTGGGAGGCCAAGGCAGGAGGATCACTTAAACCTGTTCAAGGCTTCAGTGAGTCGTAATGAGCCACTGCACTCCATCCTGGGTGACACAGCAAGACCCTGTTGCTTAAAAAGAAGTTACTTTTTGAATATTCTTGATACTGTGACATACCTCATCAAATATTTAAAAGGAGATCCTGGTAGTAAAATGGTAACATCATGAGTCACATGTAGTTAAGTGGACTTGTTGCAAGTAATTTGCTACTAATAATAAAGTATCCAAGTTTTAAAAATATTAACATTTTATTAATTAAAGAAGGGTCTGTGTATCCCAGCTGTAATCTTGCCATCCTGTATGTTTTCTTTCATGAGAAAATTTAGAGTGGAATTACTGGCCTTGCATTTGGAATCTCATGGAAATGTTTTGTATTTATAGAGATCATCCTCTATTTGTATATTTTTAATTTAGAAAAATGTGCCATGGAAAATTTTTAACCCTTAAGTTTGAAATCTGAACTTTAGGTCCACAGACTAGAGTTGCATCTTACACAGTGGTTAGGTTTTAAGTCAGCACGTGAGGCGAACAGTGTAAGTAGTCAGAGTTTCCCTTGAAAATCCTTTAGAAAGGCTCTACATTGAAGGCTGACAGAGTCTCAGTCCAACAGAATGTCATTCTAGTGCAGCTAGATTTTTCTCTCCACCACCAGATGAAGTCATTGGCCTTGTTCAGGAACCATGATTTTATTTCATTTTTTAAATTACCTTAGCTACAAACGTCAGAATCACACTTGTGTAACGAGTTGCCCACACTGAGAGAGACACAGAAACTATCTGGGGAGAAGAGATTTATATCTCCTGTCCCACTCACTCCAAGGTATAGGTTCTTAGAGTGGAATGAGTGGCAGGTGGAACACCCAGAATAATTAACCCACACCCCGCCAAATGGCCACGAGTACCCTTTACATGAACTCATGGGCGAGGGTGTGTATGTGTTTGGGTGTGCGTGTGGTGCCTCTCCATTGTATCTTAGGCCCAATAAAGGAGGATTTGAAAGAGAGGATCCTTAGAACACTTAAGACATTAGGAGATAAAAAGCTGATACTAAATTAGTAAAGGAGATCCAGCACCCACAACATACTTCTTTACCATCTCTAAACAGGACTGGCTTCACCAGAAGAATACTAAAATAGTGTTTTTAGTTTGGTTTGCTATTTCAATGAAAAACTTTAAAATAAAGGTCTTGCTGCTATTTGTCTGATAAAGGTCAAATGATTTCACCCTATCCTCCTTCACCACAATTTTTATTTTTTAAAAAGCTTATATTGCCTTTTTGGGTGCCACAACTTCTATTTTGGAAAATGTATAAGGAATAGAAAATAATTCATATTAGTTTTCTCTTGTGGCATAAAAAATTATCACAAGCTTAGCAATTTAAAACAACATCCATTTACTGTCTCACAGTTGTGTAGATCAAAGTCCTTCTGGAGGACTCAACTCGGTTCTCTGCTCAGGGTCTCGCAAGACTGAAATCAAGGCGTCCAGTAGAGCCAGGTTCTCATCCGAGGCTCAAGCTCATTCAAGTTGTTGGCAGCTTTCAGTCTCTTATAGTTGTAGAACTCATAGCAATTTGTTTTCTTCAAATTCGAGACCAGCCAGAGACTGTCATGCCTTCTTGTCTCATTTTATTTGTGTGTTTCTTAATGTTGGTTCGATGCAAGGGTTTTCTTTGTTTTGTTTTTGTTTATGTTTTTGTTTTGAGACACTTTTACTCATGTTGCCCAGGCTGGAGGGCAATGGCACCATCTTAGCTCACTGCAACCTCCGCCTTCCAGGTTCAAGTGATTCTCATGCCTCAGCCTCCCCAGTAGCTGGGACTACAGGCACATGCCACCATGCCTGGCTAATTTTTCTGTTTTTAGAAGAGATGGGGTTTCACCATATTGGCCAGGCTGTCTTGAACTGCTGACCTCAGGTGATCTGCCCGCCTTGGCCTCCCAAAGTGCTGGGATTACAGGTGTGAGCCACTGCGCCCAGCCAATGTGGTTTCTATTCATGTGAAATTTGTTCAGGAAACTCTTTTAAGATTTTATTTTTTTGCAGCAGCAGCTTTAGGTTAGCAAAATTGAGAGGAAAGTACAGAGGTAACCCATATATCCCCCGTCCCACACATGCACAGCCTTCCACACTGTCACCATCCCCCACCAGACTAGTACATTTGTTACAACTGATGAACCTACATTGACACATCATTATCACCCAGAGTCCATAGTTTACATTGGGGCTCCCTCTTACATTGGTATTGTCCATTCTGTGGGTTTGGACAAATGTATCATGACACGTATCCGCCATCACAGTCTCAGGCAGAGTATTTTCACTGCCCTAAAAATCCTGTGGTCCACCTATTCATTACCTCCCTGGCAGCCACTGACCTTTTTATTGTCTCCATAGTTTTGCCTTTTCCAGAATGCCACATAGTTGGAATCATACAGTATCTGGCCTTTTCAGATTGGTTTCTTGCACTTAGTAATATGTCCTTAAATTTCCTCCATGTCTTTCCATGGCTCGACCCTTTCTTTTTTTCCTGTTAGCACTGAATAATATTCCATTGTCTAGATATACTACTACAATTTATTCATTCACTGATTGTAAGACGTCTTGGTTGCTGTCAAGTTTTGGCAATTATGAATGAAGCTGCTATAAACTTCCAAGTGCAGGTTTTTGTGTGGACATCAGTTTTCAACTCCTTTGGGTAAATACCAAGGAGCACAGCTGATGGATTATATGTTAAGAATGTTTAGTTTTGTAAGAACCACCAAACTGTTTTCCAAAGTGGCTGTACCATGGGATCTCAGCCCCATTCGTACAAGGATCTTGGCCTGTCTCATTTGCCATTGAGTTCCCAATACCTTCAATATATCTTGCCTGAAAGAATGAGTGACTGAATATTCTTAGGAATGAGTCTACCCAAGAAATGTCATTAAACCCCTTCCAAACCACCACCTGGGGTCTGGGGCTTTTAAATTTTATGTATTTTTTTTTAATATTATTTTTTTTTAAGATGGGGTCTCACTGTGTCACCCAGGCTGGAGTGCAGAGGTGCAATCCTAGCTCACTACAGCCTCAAACTCCTGGGCTCAATTGATTATCCCACCTCGGCCTCCTGAGTAGCTGGGGCTACAAGCATGCACCACCACACCCAGCTAATTTTTTAATTTTTTGTAAAGTTGGAGTCTCACTGTGGCAGCATAGCAAGACTGCATCTCTACAAAAAAAAAAAAAAAAAAAATTAGCCAGGCATGGTGGCACGCACTCGTAGTCTTAACTACTCAGGAGGCTGAAGCCAGGGAAACAGTTGAATCCAGGAATTCAAGACTGTAGTGAGCTATGATCGCACCACTGCACTCCAGCCTGCATGACAGAGTGAGATCTTGTCTTAAAAGAAAAGAGAGAGAGATTTTTGGATAATAGTTCTTAATCAGCTATGCCCCTTGTAAATATTTTCTCACAGTCTATGGATTGTCTTTTTTTTTTTTTTTTTTTTTTTTTTTTTTTGAGACGGAGTTTCACTCTTGTTGTCTAAGCTGGAGTGCAATGGCACAATCTCGGCTCACCGCAACCTCTGTCTCCTGGGTTTTCAAGCAATTCTCCTGCCTCAGCCTCCCGAGTAGCTGCAATTACAGGCATGTGCCACCACACCCGGCTAATTTTGTATTTTTAGTAGAGACAGGGTTTCTCCATGTTGGTCTCGAACTCCCGACCTCAGATGATCCGCCCACCTCGGCCTCCCAAAGTGCTGGGATTACAGGCGTGAGCCACTGCGCCCGGTGTCTTTTTATTTTTTTAAGTGTCTTTTGCAGAGCAGTTTTTAATTTTAATGAACCCCAGTTTATCAGTTCCTTCTTCCATGGATTATGTCTTTGGTTTCTGTTTCTGAAAAGTAATTGCCAAGCTCAAGATCATCTCCTGTGTTACTGTCTGGGAGTTTTATAGTTTTGTACTTTACATTTAGGTCTGAGACTTATTTTGAGTTAATTTGTGAAGGGGGTGAGGTCTGTGTCTAGATTCCTTTTTTTTTTTTTTTTTTTTTTGGCATGTGGATATCCAATTGTCCCAGCATCATTTGTTGAAAATACTATCTTTTCTTCATTGTATTGTCCTTGCTCCTTTGTCAAAGATTCGTTGACTTTATTTAGGTAGATTTGTTTCTGGGCCCTCTGTTCTGTTCCATTGATGTATTTGTGTATTCTTTCGCTAATGCCACACTGTCTTGGTTATTGTAGCTTAATAGTAATATTGAAGTAGGGTAGTGTCAGTCCTTCAGCTTTGTTCTTCATCAATACTGCCTTGTCCATTCTGGGTCTGTGGCCTCTTCATAAAAACTTTAGAATCAGTTGATGTCTTCAAAATAGCTTGCTGGGCTTGTTGTCTCTTTTTTGTGCTCACCTGCTATGGTCAGGCCCAGTCAGGATAATCTCCCTTTTGACTAACTCAGAGTCAACTCACTAGAGACCTTAAGTGCATCTGCAAAATCCCCTTGCCATATAACGTAATATGACCATGTCTTGCCCACCCTTACGGGAATGCAAACCCAGGAGCAGGGGTCTTGGGGGCCATCTTATAATTCTGCTTACCACAAAAATAACATTGAGTACCTACTGAAGTGCCACACACCAATGGAGTAATTCCCACCTTTGAGTTAAATGGTATTATCCAAGTTTTGTAGGGAAACGAAATGTCAGGAAAATGAAGCAATTCACGTAACGAGTAAATAGCGTGGTCAGGATTCTAATGCAGATTCGCTGGTCTTCAAAGCCATTTTGCCACACTATCTCTAATAAATCCTGTCACATCTTCCTCCTTCTCAGTTTATTTGCTTTTCTCCCAACCCACTGTCTTGATTGTGGGCCATCATCATTCATCCCTTCCCCGCACTCCTGCAGCAGCCTCCTGATTGGTCTTCCTGCCTTTGCTCTTGTTCTTCTCCAGTTTGTTCTCCATAGTCCTTAAGTGTAACCCTGACTATATAACTTCCTGCTTAAAATACTTGAATGGCATCTTCCGGACAGAATCCATGCACTTTAATATGGGTTACATGGCCTCAGTTGATGGGCTCTGCCTGCCTTTCTAACATCATCTCTTACCTCTCTCTTCTTTGGTGAATGTGCCCCCATGTTGTTTCCTCTGCCTAGAACACTCTTAACCACCCTTCATCTGCCTACATCTACCCAACTCTCTGGTTTAGATTAAATGTCACTTCCTCCAGAAGGCTTTCTTTGACTCCCTAACTTGGGAAGGCACTCCTACTACATGTTCCCATAGCACCCAATGCTTTCCCTATAATAGCACTGTGTTTTATTAGAATGACATATTTAACTGCCTCATTTGTTAGATTCTGCATCTGATCCTTATCTGTATTCCCAGTGTCTGGCACATATGGATACTCAGTAAATATTATTAATAAATGAATAGTAGAATACTTTAATGGGTTACTTTTTTTCTACTACCTTTGAAATCTTAGTCTCTGCTTTTCCTTCATTGCCATTGAAATACTTTTACTATCACATATTAGAAAAGCTATCCACTTCCCATGTGTTTTATTCAGGATCCAATAATTAGTATATGGTGAAGCTGAGACAAGATTGTGGGTCTTTAAACTGTAAATTTCATGTGTTTTCCACTATTTTATGCAGCTTAACTTCCTTAGAATTAGATCTAGGCTTCAAAAGCTTATCCTCCTAACTACTTGCTCTACCACCACCCAGCACAGGTACTCAATAAACGCTAATCTAGTTTCTACATAATCGAATAAAGTCCTTTATAAGAGTTATGAAGGAAACCCTTTTCTTCAGTATGTGAATTTGGATCTATAGTATATTGGCCAAGAATTGTGATTAGTGTGACAGCTATAGTTAGCCTTATAGAATAGGAACATTAACCTTTTACAGTATTGTGTTTGAGAAAACGTTGTTAAACACCTTCCTTGTAAGTTTTATAATATGGCCAAACAAGCTGTGAAATCTCTCAAGCATATATACTTTCTAATGTTCTCAGTATTTAATAGTGAGATTGATTGTACAGTTGGGAAAGATTTGGCAGTGTGTAGACTTCCACAAATTTTTCTTTCATCATGTATTCTAGCAAATGTCAGGCATATAGATAAGCCATTATTAAAATATTAGTATGAAATTTAACAAACATACCACAAATTTTATCTCCAAATAAGTGCAATCTCATTCAAAGCAGTTACCTTGGAAGGTGTTCTAGGAATGTTTCTATTCATCAAATGATTTCAGAATCGCTTTTGGAATTAAAGTTGGAGTCATCACATAAGCTTTTTATTGCCATCAGCCTCGGTCTTTGTCCTTTGAGGGTCGTTATTTTATGGGAACAACATGAAGAACTAAGGCAGCTAGGCAGAGTGCACGATCGAGCTTTGTTTAAAGCAAGATACAACTCTGAAGTTACGAGACAGGACTGTGTGGCTGGTTTGGTTTTCATCACAAAACCTGACTCTTAAGGCAAACAAAAGCCCCCAAGGGCTTTTAAAGCACCATACATTCATGTCATATTTTTTGTTGTTGTTGAAACGGAGTCTCGCTCTGTCGCCCAGGCTGGAGTGCAGTGGTGCAATCTCGGCTTACTGCAAGCTCCACCTCCCGGGTTCACACCATTCTCCTGCCTCAGCCTCCCGAGTAGCTGGGACTACAGGCGCCCACCACCATGCCCGGCTAATTTTTTATATTTTTAGTAGAGACGGGGTTTCACCGTGTTAGCCAGGATGACCTCGTGATCTGCCCGCCTTGGCCTCCCAAAGTGCTGGATTACAGGTGTGAGCTACCCCACCCGGCCACATTCATGTCATTTTAATAACTGTAGGGCCAAAAAGGACTAGGAGTAGATGAAAGACGGAGAATCATATTTTGATGCTTCCAGATGAGTTTTGGAGGAAAGCCATACTGAAAATATTTGTTTGTTAGATTAAGATTATTAAGTGATAACTCTTTCTTTATTTTAAATAGTTAACTTTTTCTGTAAGGGAGCAACATATGTTCTTTCTTGGGCCCATAATGCATGGCCCTGAAAGTCAGGGCTACCTGGGTTGTGGTTATAACTGCCAGGGTCTGGTATTATTACTAGCTTAGTGGTGGTACCCTCAGCAAGTTACAGTTTCTCTGACTTTATTTTTTCCCATGCTCACAATGAGAAATTTGGATAGATGAATCTAATTGCATGTCTCTTTCTAGATAGGAAAAACTTAACTTTTTCCCCTTAGACCACGTATAATTGTGAAATGGAATGCATAGAAATATAATCTTCTGTTTTATATATTTCTTGTTGAACTGACTTTAAAAATAATTTGATTTTGTTTCTCAAAAATCATATATTCCTTTTGGCATTGTCAGAATATAGTGAAGAACAAACATGCCTCAGGTAGTACAGAGCTGTTTGTTGAAGTGAAGGCGTTGCATCTGACAGTGACTACCAAAGAATTGTCTTCAGTTATTTGTTCACTTCTCACCTTGAACCCAAAGAATGTGAACAATCAAATAATGAGAAGCTACAAATGACAATAAAAGCAGGATGAGGGAAATTACAAGATTAGAAATCAAAACCAGAGAAGCAAAAAGAACATAGATTTGGCTTTTGGGTTTCTGGCTCCAAAGTTTAAAAGGAAATTATGTGGTTCAGATTTTCAAAGATGAGAAAAATAGACACCCCAGGAGTGGTAAAGATTCTCTTAGCACTTAATTCTGAAAGAAATGTGTAACATGGGATTGTATATAGGGAGAAGGAAGGTCTTTACAAGTAATTTAGCATGTGGTTTTTACCTACTAAAATTAAAACTGATGTTCATCTCTGAGTGGTAAGTAACATGGATTAAAAATGTATTTTCCTGGCCAGGCATGGTGGCTCAAGCCTGTAATCCCAGCACTTTGGGAGGCTGAGGTGGGCAGATCGCCTGAGGTCAGGAGTTCGAGACCAGCCTGGCCAACATGGTGAAACCCCATCTCTACTAAAAATACAAAAATTACCCGGGTGTGGTGGCAGGCACCTGTAATCTCAGCTACTCAGAAGGCTGAGGCAGGAGAATCGCTTGAACCCAGGAGGCGGAAGTTATAGTGAGCCAAGATTGCGCCACTGCACTCCAGCCTGGGCGACAGAGTGAGACTGTATCTCAAAAAATATATATATATATATTATCCTGTTTAGGAAAGCTGGTTAGTAGTTTGGAACTCTTCCCTTGATGAAAAAGTTTAGGTATCCTTCTATTTTATTACTATGGATTCAGGGTTACTAAACCTGGGTTCTAATCAAGTCTTACCCTGTTGTATCTTCTATGCGGCATTAGCCAAAAAAGAAGAACATGTCGGCCTACCAGGTGTTCTGTAAAGAGTATCGCGTGACCATTGTGGCTGACCATCCAGGTATAGGTAAGAACATTACTGATCTGTAGCGCTTTTGCTTTCCATTTATATCTTGAAGCAGTGCGATTAATTTCTTCTTCCTGTAGCATTAGAGCATAAATCTTGTTTCTTTCCTCAGTTCTGCAAATCACTTTAGATTTTGCCTTAGTTTATCTCATCTGTAAAAGAGATGAACTTTCTATACATATCTCTTAAACGGATAAGGTGGGAAACTATGTAAAAATAAATGTTGTAAAGCACATACATAAATGCACAAAAATATACAATTGTTTATTTCCAAGATTCTACAATTGGCCTTTTCCTTAAATTGCCCTTGGATGTAAAGTTATAATGAGATATCTTGTATTATATTGTTGTAAAGATGCTCTTCAACTTATGATAGTGTTACATCCTGATAAACCCATTGAAAATTGAAAATACTGTAAGTCAAAAATGCATTTAATACACCTAGCCTACAGAACATCACAGCTTAGCTGAGCCCACCTTAAATGTGCTCAAGACACTTACATTTGCATACACTTGGGCAAAGTCATTTAACACAAAGCCTGTTTTATAATAAAGTGTTGAATATCTTATGTAATGTATTGAATACTGTACTGAAAGTGAAAAACAGAATGGCTGTATGGGTACTAGAAGTACAGTTTTTACTGAGTGCATATTGCTTTTGCATCCTTATAAAGTTGAAAAATCAAAAGTCAAACCATCATAAGTCAGGGACTGTATTTGTCTCTGTATTAGAAGTTAATGAGGTAAGAAAAACACTATACCAGAGATCCTGGACACATGTCACTTAACCGCTACAAATTTCATTTGCCTAATGTGTAAAATCGCTGCCCTACCAACTCCAAAAGACTGCAGTGTTAGGCACACATGAATATGCTTTATAAAGCATAAAACTCTTATACAATGGAAGGGTAAGATTACACATCTAGAGGATTGCTTCTGAGCTGCTCTAGGGAAATCCTTCTTTGGTTCTAATCATTCAGAAATTTGGTAAAAACCTAACATCTTTTTTCAAATTCTACACATATTTTTTAACCTAAGTTGATAGGCCTTGTATTGTGGGATCAAATTAAAGACACCAGAGGCAGGATGCAGTGGCTCATGCCTATAATCTCAGCACTTTGGGAGGCTGAAGCAGGAGAATTGCTGGAGCCCAGGAGTTTGAGAGCAGCTTGGGCAACATAACGAGACCTCATCTCTACAAATAATAATTTTAAAAAATAGCTGGGCGTGGTGGCTCACGCCTGTAATCCCAACACTTTGGGAGGCCGAGGTGGGTGGATCACCTGAGGTCAGGAGTTCGAGACCAGCCTGGCCAACATGGTGAAACCCCGTCTCTACTAAAAATACAAAAATTAGCCAAGCATTGTGGTGCACGCCTGTGATCCCAGCTACTCCGGAGGCTGAGGCAGGAGAATCACTTGAACCTAGGAGGCAGAGGTTGCAGTGAGTTGAGATCACGCCACTTCACTCCAGCCTGGGCGACAGAGCGAGACTCCGTCTCAAAAAAAAGAAAAAAGAAAAAAATTTTAAAAAATTAGCTAGGCATGGTAGCCCACGCCTGTGGTCCCGCTACTTGGGAGGCAGAGGTGAGAGGGTGGTTTGAGCCCAGGTGGTTGAGGCTGCTGTGAGCCATGATCACACCACTGCAATCCAGCCTGAGCAACAGAGCCAGACTCAGTCTCAAAAAAAGACACCAGAAAGATGCTTAAGGAATAAATCCCTAGGGAGTAGATGGGTTACGAGTTGAGACTGTCTCCTGACCATCAAAACATCCCCTTCCCTATAGAAAAAAATCAAAGAAGAGTGATGGGATTGGGGTTGGTTTTCTGAAAGCATCTTGCAACATTTAAATATGAGCTTCAAAACCCTTTTCCAGTTTTTGCTTTCACCAATCTTCTATTTTGTTAATAGCTAACCCTTTACTGTATTGAGTGTTTTACTCTTTTATGCCAGATTTTGGGGAACTTAGTAAAAAACTGGCTGAGGTGTGGAAGCAATTACCAGAAAAAGACAAACTGGTAAGTACATTTTCTTACAAACATATTTTTCAGTGCTTCTCGCCTTCCAAAATATGTAATTCTTCCATAGACTAGCCAGCCAGACAGCACTGAAAATAGTGAAGAAAATTACAAATCAACAGAAAATGGTTTAGCAGAGGACATTAACACTGTTAGTGCCAGTTCACTGTACATGAGGATTTAGCTATAGCAAGGCTGTCTTTTCTAACCTGGTCTGTTTTTTCCAGCAGTGTTACATTTGAGCCAAAAGATGACCTAAGTTGAGGAGTAATTAAAGTGTTAAAAGAAAGTCTAAAATCAGAGCCCTTTACTGCAAACACCTAGTAATCAGTCATGGTCTGAGAACTGAGGAAAGTTATCCACTTAGCAGTCACTGCAAACAATAAAAATATGAGAATGTGATTACTAGGTAACCAGGTTCAAGGTCATCATCCTCATCAACCATTACCAAATAATGTACTCTACTATCAAGAAGGTAGTAAGACACTGATAAACAGTCATATCTGGGCTGGGCACGGTGGCTCACGCCTGTAGTTCCAGCACTTTGGGAGGCTGAGGCGGTGGATCACCTGAGGTCAGGAGTTCGAGACAAGCCTGGCTAACATGGTGAAACCCCATTTCTACTAAAAATACAAAAAATTAGCCAGGCATGGTGGCGCATGCCCGTAATCCCAGCTACTCGCGAGGCTGAGGCAGGAGAATCACTTGAACCCCGGAGGCGGAGGTTGCAGTGAGCCAAGATCACACCATTGCACTCCAGCTTTGGGCAACAAGAACAAAACTCCATCTCAAAAAAAAAAAAAAAAAAAAAGTCATATCTGAATCATTGAGACTTATGATATGAAGGTCATATAGGAGCAAGATGTCATCTAGATGAACAGCCATTCTTCACCCAGATTATCCTTAGTTTTTGTTTTCCTTGTTATTGTTATTCTGCTATTGTGTTGGTATTGCCAACTAGCAGGTTAGTAGAACCACATAGACATTATATTGAGCCAGAGGTTTAATCTGTGATTTTACATTTCAACTTAGAGTGATCTAAAAATCAGTGCCGAGATTTGACCATTAGCATTGAGGAATGTTTATAGTCCTTTACTAAGATATTAATGTAGTCAGCTGTCTGAAGTCAGTTCGGTGACCCCCAGCTTAAAAGTTAGCATTAACCCTCTGTCTGCCCGCCTCTTACTATTGCCTTTCTTTTCTCCATTTTGTTCTTTCATGACTGCTTTTCCTTTTACATTTTGTCCTTCTTAATTTAATTTAATGTTCACTGATGTGATTGCAGATTTGGAAGCAAAAAGCTCAGTATCTGCAGCACAAACAGAACAAAGCAGAAGCCACAACTGTGAAAAGGAAAGCATCCAGCTCAGAAGGTTCCATGAAAGTCAAAGGTAGTGACCACATCCCGCCCCTGCTTTTCTCTAAAGCATGTGAATTTTGCTTCCTTGCTAAGAAACTGGGAAAAAAGCTTGCAGTATTAGAAGTGGACCTTGATTCCCAGGTATTATTACCTGGGAATGTTACAAGCTACCAAAAAGAGATGTTCAAATTTAGAAAATGCAAATCAGAAGTCAGCAAACTTTTTCTTTAAAGGTCCAGAGAGTAGACCAGGCGCAGTGGCTCATGCCTGTAATCCTAGCACTTTGGGAGGCCAAGGTGGGCGGATCACCTGAGGTCAGGAGTTCGACACCAGCCTAACCAACATGGAGAAACCCCGTCTCTACTGAAAATACAAAATTAGCCGGGCGTGGTGGCGCATACCTGTAATCCCAGCTACCAGAGAGGCTGAGGCAGGAGAATTGCTTGAACCCGGGAGGTGGAGGTTGCGGTGAGCCGAGATCGTGCCATGGCACTCCAGCCTGGGCAACAAGAGCAAAACTCCATCTCAAAAAAAAAAAGGTCCAGAGAGTAAATATTATAGGCCTTGTGTGCCGTATGCATTCTCGCATTCTCTGTCACATATTCTTTGTTTTTCTATAGCCCTTTAAGAATGTAAAACTATTCCTAACTCACAGGCCATAAAAAACAAGAGACCATAGACTGAATTTAGCCCACAGGCCACAGTTTTGCTAATGCCTGGTATAATTCATAAAAAGGGAAAATCAGGAAGAACAACTTTGTGTTGTTCAAGGCTGTAGGCAAGTTTTACCTGTCTGCCTCATTGCTCTGTTCTCAGCCTCTTCTGTAGGAGTACTGTCACCCCAGAAGAAGTCCCCACCCACCACCATGCTGTTACCAGCCTCACCAGCCAAAGCCCCTGAGACAGAGCCCATTGATGTTGCTGCTCATCTTCAGCTGTTGGGAGAGTCCCTAAGCCTCATTGGACACCGTCTGCAGGAAACTGAGGTGAATACAACTATCAGCAGCATGACTACAGTTTCCCATATAGTTTCCCATATAATTTTGATTCATTCACTCATTTTACATACATGTATTGAGCATCTACTTTATGCTAAATTATGCCAGGTTCTCAGGATGGCGTAACATAGAAGATATAATGATAATAACAGAAATATCTATAGAGATATTCAGTCTACCTGTTAGCTCTCAAAGTTTCACTAATGATATCCTATTGAAACAATGGCACAAAAAGAAATTGGAGTACCCTGTAACTTATTTTTATTTTTTTAAAATGCAGTGGAGGCTGGGCGCAGTGGCTCACGCCTGTAATGCTAATTTGGGAGGCCCACCTGGGAGAATCGCTTAAGGCCAAGAGTTCGAGACTAGCCTGGTCAACACAGTGAGACTCCATCTCAAAAAATACATATATTCAAAAAATTTAAAAGAAATAAAAATGGGGCCGGGCGTGGTGGCTTATGCCTGTAATCCCAGCACTTTGGGAGGCTGAGGCAGGCGGATCACGAGGTCAGGAGTTCAAGACCAGCCTGGCCAATATGGTGAAACCCTGTCTCTACTAAAAATACAAAAATTAGCCAGGTGTGGTGGCATGCACCTGTGGTCCCAGCTACTCGGGAGGCTGAGGCAAGAGAATCACTTGAACCTGGGAGGCAGAGGTTGCAGTGAGTCAAGATTGCGCTACTGTACTCCAGCCTGGGCGATAGAGCAAGACTCCATCACAAAAAAGAAAGAAAGAAAGAAAGAAAAACGCAGTGGTGGCTGGGCACGGTGGCCCATGTCTGTAATCCCAGCAATTTGGGAGACCAAGGCAGGAGGATCGCTTGAGGCCAGGAGTTGGAGAGCAGCCTGGGCAACATAGCGAGACCCCATTTCTACAAAAAATTAAAAAATTAGCCAGGCATGGTGGTGCACACCTGTAGTCCCAGCTACTCGGAAGGCTGAGGCAGATGGATTGCTTGAGCCCAGGAGCTCAAAGGCTGCAGTAAGCTATGATTGCTGCACTGCCCTCCAGCCTGGGTGACAGAGCAAGACCCTATCTTTTTTAAAAAAACAAAAACAAAAAGGCAAGAAAAAGGATGAGTACAAATTCCATAGCAGTTTTGATTACTTCTGTCTCCTTCTAAGAGACTTTGAATTTTTCTCTGCATTTCCAGCAAAGTCTTGAATATTCAATTGTATAGGAGATTAAGAGTTCCTCTGTTTTGAAAATAGGTAACAAATGGAGAAGTTAAGGTTCCCAGCTCTCCATTACTCTGCACTTAAATTATACAGTGCTATATGCCCTGGGGAGATTTTTGTCCTTTTAAGCTTCAATTTCAAAAATCACTTAACCTGCACAGCTGTCGTGTTTCATTTCTATTACCATATTCAATTTCTAACAATATTGTCCCCTTAGCTAACTCATTAGTATAGTAGTTCCGCTTTCCACCAAGTTCTAGTAAGACATTTCAGCAAAGAAGTCAGTCTAAGCTACTAAAGCCATTTTTAAGCTAAGAAATTAGTGTAGGAATGTAAAACTAATCACTTGCTTCAATGTGGAAATTGAATTATTCAACAAATAAAATGCCAAAGGCCACAAGAGCTGAAGCTATATCTAAATTCTTTGGCTAGTTTCTAAAAATTTTAGCAGTAGTCAAAAGAACTTCAGCACCTTCATATAGGCTCGATATCTGAATGGATATAGATATTTCCAGAAGAAGTATTCTATGACCTTACTTATTTTTCAGATTTAATCATTCTTACGTTTCGTAAGAAGTTAGAAGTAAAAACAGTTTGTTTTAAGCGTATTCTGAATTTTCCCAGATATTTCCATTTAGTTTAGTAAGTACAAAGTTCACCCTTTTAAAGTGCAGAATTTAGTGATTTTTAATATATTCACAGAATTGTGAATCACTACTATTTCATTCCAAAACATATTGTTACCCCTAAAAGAAACCCTGTACCAGCCAGGCGCGGTGGCTCACGCCTGTAATCCCAGCACTTTGGGAGGCCGAGGCAGGCAGATCATGAGGTCAGGAGATCGAGACCATCCTGGCAAACGTGGTGAAACCCCATCTCTACTAAAAATACAAAAAATTAGCTGGGCGTGGTGGCGGGCGCCTGTGAGAGGCTGAGGCAGGAGAATGGCGTGAACCCAGGAGGCGGAGCTTGCAGTGAGCCGAGATTGCGCCACTGCACTCCAGCCTGGGCGACGGAGCGAGACTCCGCCTCAAAAAAAAAAAAAAAAAAAAAAAGAAACCCTGTACCCATTGGCAGTTATTCCCCATTCTCCCTCTAATCCACTTTTGGCCCGAATTTAATCATTTGCATAGATCTCTGCAATTTTATAATTTCCACATACCACTTAATACTTTTACTTACTTTATAATTTTATTTAAATAAACTTGTCTGTGCTTTTACAGTGACATTCATGACATCTCAAGGGTTATATTCTATTTTTTTAATGTACATCGTAATGGACATATAATTATCAAAATAATATGTTCAGTAGTAAATTAATGTTCATCATTTTAGCAGTAAAACTGGAACATACAATGCATAAGTTAGAAAATTAAGGCTAGAGGCCGAGCACTGTTGCTTGTTCCTGTAATCCCAGGACTCTGGGAGCCAAAGTGGGAGGATCACCTGAGGCTAGCAGTTCGAGACCAGCCTGGCCAACATGGCAAAACCCCATCTCTACTAAAAATACAAAAATTAGCCAGTTGTGGTGGTGCACACCTGTAATCCTAGCTACTTGTGGGGCTAAGGCAGGAGAATCGCTTGAACCGGGAGGTGGAGGTTGCAGTGAGCCGAGATCACACCACTGCACTCCATCCAGCCTGGGCAACAGAGTGAGACCCTGTCTCAAAAAAAATAAAAATAAAAATTGTGCGTGTGTGTGGCGTGTGGTGTGTGTGTATCTTAAGAAAGTTAAAGCTAGAACCCAAATTGCAGAGGGACTTCATAGACATTCTGAAGTGTGTATACTTCACTGTTGGGGAACTACAGGGGTTTTTACAGTGGAAAGGGATGAGATCAGAGCTCTCATTTACTTTTCTCTGAGAATATCTTTTATTTTAGATTGGAAGTGAAAAGAGACCAGAATTGGGGAGAAGTTAAAACAATAATCCTAGTCTAGATGTGACAAAGATAAATTAGCTATAAATAAATATAGGGCAAAGGAAATGGAACAATATTACTAATTACTGACATTTTTGGGGTTTTAGCTATTATCTTCCCTGTATACTAATGTTTTATTGAAGGCTCACTCACCCAGCTTTGGTTCAGAGTGCTTAATATGAATTATATCATTTAATTCACACTGCAGCTTTGTGAGGCAGAATTTGTTCCCCCCATTTTACAGAAGAATAAACAGACTTAAAGAGGTGAAGTCACTTTCTCTAGAGTTTAGCCCCTAAGTGGTAAAATAGAGACTTGAATTTGGAATGTGACCTCAAGGTCCGGGTTCTTAACCTCTTACTGTACTGCTGCCCTCAGAAAGTATAGGGGGGAGATGTTGACAAGGAGGATGAGGGAAAGGAAGAGTCAGTGATGGCTAGGCCTTGAGACTGGGCAGTTATGTGAATGGTGGTGACTTTGGCAGAGAAATGGATGCTCAAAGGAGGGCTAGATTTGCATGGGAAGGTTATTCTTCCTTACAGGAAGTTGAGATGGAGAAATATCCAAAAGGAGAGACCCAAAAGACAGCCAGAAATGCAGTTTTGAAGATCAAGATGTTGGTAGTAATATTCATAATTACTGATATTTTTTGAGTACTTAACCATGTATTAAGCACCATCCCAAGTATATTATATCTATTATCTCAATCCCATCTGCTGCAGATGCTGTTAGTATCTTACAGGCACAGCATAGTAAGCAACTTGCCTAGGTACAAAACAGTGAGTAGTGGAGCCAGGATCTGGACCCGGGCAGTCTTGAATCCGGAGCTCATTTTCTTAAGGACTGTGCTGTGTTGCTTCCCAATATGACATATTCTCACACTGCTTCTAGTTAAAGCAGATTATACAAGAACTCGGCAGCAGCAACAGTCTTTCTTATCTCTTTGAATCACAAATAGACAATATGAATTACATAAAATGTTAAAATTTGAACCAAATTCACTTTGAGAGTGAACAACTCAACCTAGAAAAATTGTATAATCAGCTATCAAAAGCTACATACATGCAGGGTTGTAGGATTCTCATAGTAATCACATCTGAGCTATATTTGTCGAGTTTATAACAGATATACTTTGCATACATAATCACAAATCTTACCAACAGCTCTCCAGAGTAGGTAAAGCATTTTTTACTGTTCCTGTTAAGGAGACAGAAGTTAAGGATGTGAACTCCCCAAGGTCACTCAGAAGGTAAGAAGATGGGCTAGGATTACGGAAAGGGAACATGGGAATGTGCTGTAAAAGTTTTCTTTCTAAACAACTTACAGAGTTATCAAAGTAAACTTTCCATTTCTGCTGTAAAGTTTCAAATTATAAGAGTAGAACTGCCTAGGATTTAAAGTACTGTGTGAGGAAGTCAGCCGGAACACAGCATCAGGAGTGTGACTCAAGCAACAACCTCCTCTCCTTTTCAGGGTATGGTGGCTGTGTCTGGCAGTTTGTCAGTGCTTCTGGATTCCATTATCTGTGCCCTTGGCCCCTTGGCATGTCTCACCACACAACTACCTGAATTGAATGGCTGTCCCAAACAGGTCTTGGTGAGTTTTCCCTGGATTTTTAGAGTCAGATCCATTGGGCGTCAGAGATGCCCTGCCTTAATGAGCACTGTCAGACACACATAAGGCTTTGTGACACACAGTGCTTCCTTCATCTGTTGGCCCATGGAACATGATGCTATATTATCAAATGCATGCTGTACTTTCACTGAAACTAGAAAACAAGCCATTTACCAAAACAGTACTTAAGAAAGCAGCATTCTAGCCCTTGAGGTACTACAATTCCTGTGTTTCCTGTTTGCTATTCTGCACCCAAAGACAGTACAGGAATTGTTTCCCTCTTTTTTACGAGGATTAATGGGAGAAGTCAGCAGAAAAGTTCCTAGCATAACAAACAGCAGGATGCCGTCTTCATTCTCACCTGTTTTTCTAACTCCATTTGATTTTTCTTATCTCTCTCCTTGAACAAAGAAACATCTCTCAGGAAACCAAGGTACAGTACTCTTCAGTTGAACATTTTTCTTTGTTTTGCAGTCAAACACATTAGACAACATTGCTTACATCATGCCGGGACTGTGACAGCAAAGAATCCTGGGACAGAAACCTTATCCTACACCATTGCTGGTTTGTGTATATATGACTGTTGCAGATTCCTTCAGTGGCCTCTGGCTGTAGGTTTTAAATTTTTATATCTATACATACATATATACATATATATATAATGTACAATATATACATAGACTGTAACTACTTTGCTTTTAATAATTTTATGAAATGGCAAAGGTTTAGCCAAGAGGAAATTTTGGCATGAATACAGGCTTGGGATTCTTTTTTCTCCTGTGGTGGATAAATCTGCCTTAAAAATCAATGTAACTTGGGGGCTGGGGGCTTGTTCTGGGTGCCAAGCGCATCTCTTTATGGACAGCTAAAATGTGATTATTTTCCAAGCTCAGTTGGACCTCCAGACCCATCACTGACCATTTGCCTTACCTGTCTTAGTCTGAAATGTAATAGGAAAGATAACGGGAAGATGCCAGTTGACTGAAAATTCAAAGCCTTTCAATTTGAAGTGACCTAGGTGGGAGGTGATAAAATTTGTTCCCTTTATAGTTATGGAAGTGGCTTAGGTGAATTGAGTAGAGGGTTCATTCCAATTCCTACTGTATAGGTGTCTGTGTCTCAAAATTTATTGTAATCATTGGTACCATTGGTGGCCTCAACAGAGGCCAAGGAGTTCTGTGAGCCCTGGCAGCAAAAAACACCTTGGGGGGTGAAGCTGTCAATGCCACCAGTTGGACCTCCATACATTCTGAGCTAACCCAGAATCTTTAGTCGGCAGAATTAAGTGCTGGTGTCTTTCACTGGCAGCATGAAGTTAGCCACCAAGTCCTCACAAGCCGTGCTGCTTAGTTGCTCGGTGGTTATGGATAAACTTTGCCCAGCATGATTTTTGGGTTCATCTTATCAGTTCCCCTGGTGGGCAGATACACAGTGTTCTGCATTCCACATGTAAGTGAATTGCAAAAACAAAACAAAACTCACTCTCTTGTAGGTTTATTTATGTGTGTGTGAATGTGTATTTTAATTATGTGTATTTAACTCTTTAAAATCTCTTAGATTTTAATTTATCCTGTAAATTTCTGTATATATAATTTAATAACAGAAGCCTCCACCAGCAACAGCATGTGGAAGATACAGATTTGTCATTTCTCCCTTCCGCCCTCCCTTCTTTCCTTCCTTCCTTCCCTGTTTCCTTCCCTCTTTCCTTCCTTCCTCCTGGTCTGTTCCAAAAACTCTGAATCATCTACATTTTAAGGTATTTTACCTCAAAAATGAATCATTGTGTTAGGATTCTAATTCTTTATAAAGAACTTCATGGGCTTCAATAATGTCTAGAAAGTAAAATAAAGAGGAATGTTACCATCCCCAGCTGCCCTTATTTCCAGAGAACCAGACGTTTGTTTCCCAGTTGGAAAGAAGACAGTTGAGCACTTCAGGATGGTTTTTAAATTTGGTATGAGATTCTCTGCCAACACCAAGCTCTGAGTTAACTGTGCTTTCTTCTCCTGGCCCTGACAGAGCACTACAGCATCAAAGTAAATCTTTGGGGACAGTGTAGCCCATCTGCATCCTATTTAATTTCTTCCCTTCTCCCCACCAGTGTTGTCACAGGGCTATGTTGCTTAAAGGTAGTCTGGCTGCTGAATCCCTTTCTCAGCTCAGAGCAGTTTTAAGATTTAATTGGGAATACAGAGAAACAGGATTGTTTGAGAACCAAAATCAAGAGGAACAGAAATCTTAACTTGATTTCATGTGTTAGAACATTGTACCATGCCTCTTCTGTATCTGTGGAAGTTTCCTGTTTGACACAGGGTATCTAGGAGGGGCGGGGAAGACATGGATAGTATAGGAAGACATTAATCCTAGCATTGTCATTTATATACATTAATGAAATCCTGATGAGGACCTGCTTTTTGTTTGTTTTCCTTTGAAACCCAGCCCTATTGTATTTGTATTTAAAATTTGTACACATTTGTATAATAATCTGTACCTTGTGGTATTTGGTACTATTAGAGGAAAAACTTTGGATTCAGACCTTCTTGCAGTTTTTATATCATTGTTTTATTTTGTTTTTTAAATAAATTCTAGTGGTTTGATCCAAATCCCATTACAGTTGTATAAAGAAATAAAATTTTGTACTTATATTATTAAAAATCACATTTTTAATATTTGTAGTCCAGTCTCAGCTGTCTTTTCCCTAATCATGATCATCATAGTTGCTATGAAATTATAAAACCTGTTTTTCACTCTATTCTACCATAATTTTCTTAAGAAAAAAATCAACCCACAATGGAGATTAAATTTCTAATCTTAGCCATTTTCTTAATATACTCCTTACTCTGCTTCTATTAACTTTTACATTGTAGAGGTTCTCATTTTCTCTTTTGCAAATTGCAAATTTAGTGAATCTGATAATTCCACCTCCATTTATTGGCAAATGAAACTATGTGCATTATGGTGTTGGCCTAAATCAAGAAAATGTTGATTAATCTTATATAAGGGTTGCATCTGAATCATGTGCTAAATGATATGTTTCAGTACTGTCCTGTTAGCATTACAGTAATGCTGTTGATAAGTTACTTAATCTTTATAGGCTTCCAAAGTCCCATCTATAGAATAGTGTTAAAGTCACTTCCCTGTCTGTAGACCTGCAGCCAGCCAGCCTGACATGAATGTTTAATAACATTATGAACACTGAATATATGGAGATATGACCTTTCAAGGTAAAAACTTCAGTGCAAACACAAGGTGTTAAAAGTCATAAATAGTAAAATAATATGATTAATTACAAGGCTAATGTCTTATGGAAAGGCAGCAAGGAAGAGACTACCGTATCACTGAGTGACTATTAGAGTGATTTGCATACTTTGTCTCACTCATCCTCCGCCCAAAGCCTTAAGAATATTATCTCCCTTTATAGATGCGAAAAAGTACTTTTCCTAAGTTTATACTGCTAGTAAATGGCAAAGGCAGATTAAGAACAGTGAAACAGCTGACCCCAAACCCTAGGCTCTTTTCTACCCCAAGCTACTTTCAGATTTAAATCATGTCTATAATTCATCAGAATGCTTTCCATTATCTCAAGTCCTGAGCGAATGTGATTGTGGGAATGCTGTCTCAGATCTTTGCATTGTTCGGGTATCTAGCTGGCTTTCACTCTTGTCATACTATTGTCTTTAAATTTTGAAGGCAAGGTATCTTGATTTTTGTCTGTAAGCACTTAAAGGATTTAATAGATTACATTTATGCAGACTGTCAATCTTAAGAAATTTGAACATTTTAACCCTCAGTAAGGCATGATATTAATTTTACTAAAACACTTAAAAAGTAAATTGAAACACTTTTTACTAAATCAGTTTGCTCCTTATTAGCACACTTTTTAAAGACAGTTTTAATCAGTTTTGTACTAACTTTAATGTTTGCCATTTACATCCCTATCTACTATGTTGATAAAATCCATATACTGGCCAGGTGCAGTGGCTCGTGTCTGTAATCCCAGCACTTTGGGAGACTAAGTCAGGAGGATCATTTGTGGCCAGGTGTTTGAGACCAGCCTGGAGAATATAGCAAAACCCCATCTCTACAAAAACTAAAAGATATTAGCCAGGTATGGTGGCATGCATCTGCAGTCCCACCTACTCAAGAGGCTGAAGTGGGAAGACACTTGAGCCCAGGAGATCAGGGCTACGGTGAGCTACAGTTGTACCACTGTACGCCAGCCTGGGTGACAGAGACTCTGTCTTTAAAAATAAATAAATAAATAAATCCATATACTTCCATTTCTGTTTCAATAGCTATATAGTAATCAGTTTGCATGGAGTTGTTTTTCTTTTTTTTTTTGAGACGGAGTCTCGCTCTGTCTCCCAGGCTGGAGTGCAGTGGTGCAATCTCTGCTCACTGCAAGCTCCGCCTACCAGGTTCACGCCATTCTCCTGCCTCAGCCTCCCGAGTAGCTGGGACTACAGGCGCCCACCACGGCGCCCACCACCACGCCCAGCTAATTTTTTCTATTTTTTTAGTAGAGATGGGGTTTCACCGTGTTAGCCAGGATGGTCTTGATCTCCTGACTTCGTGATCTGCCTGCCTGGGTCTCCCAAAGTGCTGTGATTACAGGTGTGAGCCACCGTGCCCAGCCTGCATGGAGTTTATGATTCCACTTCCTGTTTGGGGGCATATGAGTTGTCTCTGTTTTTGTTTTTTTTTGTTTTTTTTTTTTTTTTTTTTTACCATGAATAAAGTTTACAAGAACTTGTTAAAAGCTTAAAGGAAGGGCCAGAGATGGTGGCTCATGCCTGTAACCCAGGGCTTTGGGAGGCTGAGGTGGGAGGATCACTTGAGCTCAGAAGTTCAAGGACCAGCCTGGGCAACATAGTGAGACTTTGCCTCTAAAAATAAATAAATAAAGGTTAATGGAAGAATCCAAAAGAAGTTCATGCTAAACATAACTCCATATGACCAAGCAATAAGGTTAAGTGAAGAAAGACATGGAAAGTGCCTTGACCTGAAGGTCATCTTAAATGGCCTTCTCCCCGCTTATACTCCAAATACCATTACTGAAACGTAGATCTATTTAAGCTTTCATGTGCTAGTTACTGGGTTAGACAATAGTGGGGAGCAAAACAGAAATAGTAGCCCAGCCCCCAGGGACATCCAGACTCGTGGGGGCAAAGGCATTTGTGAACAGGTCTCATGAGTGTTGTGGAAACACTTCAAAGCAGTTTTTATATTGTACAGTAAAGACATCGGACCCCATGGCTGCTCAAACAAGTGAATCTACAGAGGTGATTAAGTTCTAATTTAGGTTTGTTTTTTTTTTTAAGACACAGCCTTACTCTGTCACCCAGGCTGGAGTGCAGTGGCACGATCTCAGCTCACTGCAATCTCTGCCCCCCTGGGTCCAAGCAATTCTCATGCCTCAGCCTCCCAAGTAGCTGGGACTACAGGCGTGTACCACCACACCTGGCTAATTTTTGTATTTTTAGTAGAGACGGCATTTTACCATGTTGGCTAGGCTTGTTTTGAATGCCTGACCTCAGGTGATCCACCTGCCTCAGCCTCCCAAAATGTTGGGATTACAGGCGTGAGCCACCACACCTTGCTTAATTTAGGTTTTCTGTCATCCAAAATTTGTGCAGTCAATTTACTAGCCTTTCAGATTTAAAAACCACAAACATCACAATAAGTACTTAAGCACCCACAGTAGCCAGACTACTAAGGCCATGGTTATTGTATTTTTGGAGTACATGCCAGAAGAAAAGGTCATAACCCATAGATAGGTATCTAGTGTGTAGGTGTCAGCAGACACACCACACACAGCCAGGAAGGCTGAAGAGATTAGAATCACAACGCTGGGAAAGGCCTTTGAGATTCTTAGCTTGGGGTCCACGGTTGTACTTCAGGGACCCCAGAAACTCCCTGAGGTTATAAGCAAAATTGTATCGCTGCCTTTTTTCTTCAGAAAGGCTCATGGCTTTTGTCAAATTCTCAAAGGAGACTGTGACCTAAATAAAATATTTTTTAAAAATGGTTACGAGTCCTTGATCTAATTCCAGTATCTAGAGAAAATGGGAGCTATGTTTGGCTCACACAGTAAATTTATGGCAGAGACGGGTATTAAAGCCCCACTCGTGACTACATCTGTGCTTTTTGCCATCCTGGGCGCTAGAGGGAATTGCGCTGCAATTCATTAAATTGCCTCTCAGTCTCAACAGATGACAAACCCCTTGCCCTTGCCTCTGATTTAAGGTAAGATAATTTGGGCTGCGAGCAGGGTGCATCTTGGAGCGGGGAGACCTTGACATCAAACAGGAAGAGTCTTACCGGGACAAGGAGACAACAGCCCAGAGAGGCTGTCACCCAGGGTAGGTGTGCAGTCACAGTGAGGTCCCAAGGACTAAGGGCTATGACCCTAAGAGTCTCGGCTTCTGTGTAACTCACCCAAGTCACTTCCCTGGTCTACGACCCAGTTTCCCAAATGTGTAAAGGGTCCTTTAGACCTCGCCCTAAAAGGTCAGGGGCGTGGCTTAAAGAGGACCGCGCTTCCCGGGCCCCGACCCCAGACCCTACATCGTGTGTGACGCCCGCCGCCGCCGAGCAAGCCGCAGTGAGGTCATCGCCCTCCGCCTCGGGGGCGGGACCCTGGCGTCTCAGGGCGGGGCTTGTGGTCGAGCTTCGCGGTGCCACCGCCCCGCCCACGCCTCCTCGCCGGCCTCCGAGTGCGTCACGTGACGGGTCGGTGGCGCTGGCGGTTGCTGTCAGCTGATTCCCGGGGTTGGTGGCAGCGGCGGTAGCAGCAATGGACTTTCTCCTGGGGAACCCGTTCAGCTCTCCAGTGGGACAGCGCATCGGTGAGTCCCTGGAGCCCCCCACAGCTCCGCCCCGGTGCTCCGCACCCAGCTTCGGTCCCCTGGGAAGCCTCCGGGTGCCTAGTCACGGAGGCAGGGAGGGCAAGGAGGCTGGCGTGTAGCTCTCCGACCTGGCTCCGCCCAGCTTTCCTCCCACTCTTGATTGACAAGAACTTGGGCCATTAGGAAGCCTTGGCTTGTGATAGATGTATATGACAGCCAGTAGGTAAGGAGAGAGGGTGGGTCCGGATGCCCACGGCGCAGCCAATGTGCGTCTGCTGGGGTCCCCAATCGAGGGAGAAAGTTTTCGTGGTTAAAGGGACTGCGTGGTTGGCAGTGGCTGGGCCACTCTGCTGGGTCCCGCCGCCTGGGCTCTGGCCAGCTCCTTCCTGGCTCACCGGGCCCTCCGGACACAGACACCTGAGAAGGGCTAGAAGTCCCTTCTCCCAGGACCGCGAAGCCCCGGGCTTGGCGTCTTGGGGCCAACTGGCCAGAGGGGCCCAGCGCCGGACAGCCCGCGGCCAGGCCTCACAGACCCGGGTCTCAGGACGTGTCCGCCTGGGCTCTTTTCTCGACCCAACCTCAAATGGACCCGCACAGACTCTCAGAACCTGAGCAGACAGTGGTCGGACAAACCCTCCTGGTCAGCCCATCTCGGTGCTCCGTAGGTGGGGCAGCCGGGAACTCGGGCCAAGCCAAGCCCAGGGCACCTGGCGCCTGTCTGCTGGTCCGTGGTTCTCTGCACCCTGGTGACAGGATACTCACAGTTCTGTGACGCAGCCTCCCTGGGCCGAGGTTTCCTCACCTGTAGTTGGCGGGCAATAATGGTCCCCACCTCCGTGGGCTTGTTGTGAAGATTAAATTCCTTAATAAATGTGAAATACTTAGAACAATGCCTGGTACATGGCCAGTGCCATATAAAAAAAAACAGTTGTAATATTTATTATCACTGGGCTGGGCACGGTGGCTCCCGCCTGTAATCCCAGCACTTTGGGAGGCCAAGGCGGGCAGATCGCTTGAGCCCAGGAGTTCGAGACCAGCCTGGGCAACATGGCGAGACCCCGTCTCTACAAAAAAAAAAAAAAAAAAAAATACAGAAATTAGCCGGGCGTGGTGGTGCGTGCCTGTGCACCCAGCCACTCGGTAGGCAGAGCTGGGAGGATTTATTGGATCTGGGAGGTCAGGGCTGCAGTGAGCCCTGATGGCGCCACTGTACTCCAGCCTGGACGACGCAGGGAGAGCCCATCTCTTGAAACACATACACATACACACACACACACGCACACATATATATAAAAATATACACATACAAACATACATATACATACACATACATATATATTATATGTATTTACACACACACGTTGTTCCTGAGATCACCAAGTGAAGGTTAGGAATCCCTGGAAATCGCTTGGCAGTAGATCTCATAGGTGCTCATTCTTGGGCACCAACACCATGAGAACCGACATGCCTTCACCCAAACAGCCACACTTCTCCGGAGGATGGTTTGGGTGTTCCGCATTCTTGCATGAAGAAACCATCGCATTACCGTGAAATTACTCTTCATCTTTTTTGATGACGACTTTTCGTCTTAAGTCCAGACTGGGAAAACTTTAAGATGAGACATATTTTCCATTCTTAGTGTCTTGCGAAACCTCACGAAAGCTTGTCGACCCGGCTCTGTGTTGTAATCGCCACCGTGGCTGTCGGTGGCTCTTCCGAGGTTTTGTAATCAATGCTCTCCAAGGGGGAGGTGGCAGTCCAGGATTTACACACCAGGAAGCTCCTGAACCAGGGAGAGGAACTGCCCTCTCAAAGGACCCCTGCCCTCCCCGGACACACACCCACCCCACAGTGAGTCATGGTTTTTTGGAGCTGAAAAGAGAAGGCAGCTCTCCTCTCATCTATATTTCTCTGACTACAGAAACCACTGCTTTTATCACATGCCAAGTTTAAGACTTACTACTTAAAAATAAACAAGTAAATAAAAGACCTGGCTTCAAAGTCAGCCACATACTCTTAAGGCTTTCTGGAAAAGCTCACCTGGGTTCTGGATTTCAGCTAATCAAAGCAAACTTCTCTTCTTACCTTGAAGCGTTGCCTTTCTTGGGCAAGAAATACTTCTGTGCAAAGAGAATGCTACTAAATCATAATACCTTAAAGCACAAATGGAATTTTGCAGGTAAAAGAGCCTTACCTTGGGGATCTTCTAACCCAGTGGTTCTCATCAGAATTCCTAGGAGGGCTTGTTAAATAATGTCGGGGCCCCAACCCCAGAGTTTCTGACTCTCCAGGTCTGCGGTGGGACTCTAGAATGTGAATTTCTTTTTTTTTCTTTTTCTTTTTCTTTTTCTTTTTTTTTTTTTTTTTTTTTTGAGACTGCGTTTCGCTCTTGTTGCCCAGGCTGGGGTGCAATGGCACCATCTTGGCTCACTGCAACTTCCGCCTCCCGGGTTCAAGCGATTCTCCTGCCTCAGCCTCCCAAGGTAGCCGGGATTACAGGCACGCTCCGCCACACCCGACTAATTTTGTATTTTTAATAGAGATGGGGTTTCTCCATGTTGGCCAGGCTGGTCTCAAACCTGAACAGGTGACCCACCCACCTCAGCCTCCCAAAGTACTGGGATTACAGGCATGACCACCGTGTCCGGCCTAGAATGTGAATTTCTGTTGAGTTCCCGGGTAATGCTAATGCTGTTCCAGCCCATCCCCTTCATTTTACACTGGCGGAGACTAAGGTCCAGAGAGGGGAAAGTGGAGGCTGTGACTCATCCAAGACCCCAGTAAATTGACAGCAAAACTGAGTCATTGAAATTTAAACCAAAGCTGAAGAGGCTCCAAAAGTAGAATTAAGAGTTTGAGTTAATCCCCTCAGTATTCCATATTCTTTTAGATAAAGAGGCGGAGGAAGTACTGCTCCCTGGCTGTGATTACTGATGACACAGTATAGCTGCTTATAATTCTGTAAACCAGGCCCCTCCTTGCTGCAGGAGTACCATCTCTTCTCAAGCCTGCCGACTCCCATGCCCTTGTTGATAGTAGAGCTGTAGAGCCATATGGAATTGACATCCCTCAGATGGTGATTCTAATGATGCTAATCAGGAATGAGTGTCAGTCACTGGAATCACAAAGTTCTCATCCACCTCCCCTCCCAACACACACACACACACACCCCTTTGTGCTTGCTGGTCCCTCTGCCTGGGTTGCTTGCTCCTGTGCCCCCACTGAGGAGCTCCAGATCACCCTTCAAAGTACAGGGCATCATCACCTCCTCCCTGAGGCTTGCCCCAAGCCCGACGTTGCTCTTTTACTCTCCCTTTATCCTAGATCCTCAGGCCCCCTTGCCCTATGACTTTGGGCTCTGAATCTCCGCTTCCTCCTTGGTAGAATGTTACTAACAGCATCTGCCTCACAGGGTGGTTGCTGGAATGAAACAAGATAGTCCTCTGAGAGTGTCTCGCACAGTGTGAGTGTATGGAAACATTAGCTCTTCCTGTCATCATCACCATCATCATTTTTATTATTTCTTTTTTTTTTTTTTTTTTGAGACAGAGTCTCAAAAAAGGCTGGAATGCAGTGGCACAGCCTCAGCTCACTGCAACCTCTGCCCCCCAGGTTCAAGTGATTCTCCTGCCTCAGCCTCCCGAGTAGCTGGGATTAGAGGTGCACACCACCATGCCCGGCTAATTTTTGTATTTTTAGTAGAGATGGGGTTTCACCATGTTAGCCAAGCTGGTCTTGAACTCCTGACCTCAAGTGATCCAGCCACCTTAGCCTCCCAAAGTGCTGGGATTGCAGGTGTGAGCCACCACGCTTGGCTTATTTTTATTATTTCTACCCTCATTATACTAATATGCCACCGTCCCACTCTGTTAGTGGTTGTGCATGTCTGTCTCCACAGCTAGGCTGAACCTCTTGAGAGCAGGAACTGTGCCTTATTTCTCCAGACCCTCAGCACCTAGCACGGTGCCTGGCACATAGCAGGAAGGAGGAAGGGAGAAAAGGAAAGTAACATTTTGTGAGCAAACACCATAATAACTCTGCCAGGTATTCTGCTAGCGTCCTGGGTATTAATCTCATGGTGACCCTGTGCGGTTTTGCTATTTTTTTCCCATTTCACCAAAAGTCAGTCTAAGAGAAAGCATCGCTTTCCAGGGTTCCACAGCCACTCAAGGTCAGAATCCAGACCCAGGTCTTCTTTTGTACCCTCACCACACTGCCTCGAGCTGCCCAGTGCTTCTTTTGAATTGATGTCTGTCCCACCCTCCAAGAGCCACAACTCTTATTCTACCCTCAGATAAGGACATGTACATGGGTCTCACACTTGCAGGCCCCTCCCCTCATCGATGAGTAGGGGAGCTTCCCAAGGGCAGCACCCGTAGCTGAGAGGATTCCAGATCCTTTGTACCAGCTGGTGTTGTCACAGCCCTCTTCTTTCAAGGATTTCAAACCCTTTCCAGATATTCTCTGCAGACAAATCTTACTGGATCTGTTTTGTTTTTTGTTTTTTGTTTTTTATGAGACAGAGTCTCACTCTGTCGCCCAGGCGGGAGTGCAGTGGCGCGATCTCGGCTCACTGCAAGCTCCACCTCCCGGGTTCACGCCATTCTCCTGCCTCAGCCTCCCAAGTAGCTGGGACTACAGGCACCCGCCACCACACCTGGCTAATTTTTTGTATTTTTAGTAGAGACGGGGTTTCACCGTGTTAGCCAGGATGGTCTCGATCTCCTGACCTCATGAACCACCCACCTCGGCCTCCCAAAGTGCTGGGATTACAGGCGTGAGCCACTGCACCCGGCCTACTGGCTCTGTTTTATAGACAGATATCAAGAAACCCATTTTCCATTTCTGGCTGTCAGCTTACCCCTAAGCACTTGGAGTCCAAATCCTAGCTGATTGCCAACAGTAAGTTGCAAACAACAGAGATGGTAAATATGGGCAGTCCCTGGGGATGAGCCTCAGTGGTTGGGGTGGTGGGAGCTGGGTGTGAGGGGAGAAGAGCCCAGAGCCTGAAGACTGAGCCCTGGAGGGGAAAAGTGAAAAAGTCAGAGAGAGCTGTCTTTGAATCCACAAAAGCCAAGCCGGGGGAGCCACAGGAAGGAATCACAGAAGTGAGAGACCACTTCAGGCCCTTGGGGGCCAGTTGGGGAATGATGGGCTGGAAAGTGGACACTTAAGCGATGTTGAGGAGACACCAGGCTGGGAGGCGGGACACCTGGTTCCAGCTCTGGTTCTGCTCCTAACTATGTCACGGTCCCTCTCCATTGCCCATCTCCCCTATTGGCAACACAGAGGTGCTGTCATTCTCCCTCTGCTTCCCAGAGGATTGGTAAGGAACGACAGAGGTCATATATAGGGACAGGGAAGGGTTGATGCCAGAGGGAAGAAAGAAACTGATGGCGGGCCAGGCACGGTGGCTCACGCCTGTAATCCCAGCACGTTGGGAGGCCGAGGCGGGTGGATCACGAGGTCAAGAAATTGAGACCATCCTGGCCAACATGGTGAAACCCTGTCTCTACTAAAAATACAAAAATTAGCTGGACGTGGTGGCACACGCCTGTAGTCCCAGCAACTTGGGAGGCTGAGGCAGGAAAATTACTTGAACCTGGGAGGCGAAGGTTGCAGTGAGCCAAGATCACGCCGCTGCACTCTAGCCTGGTGACAGAGTGAGACTCAATCTCAAAAAAAAAAAAAAAACTGATGGGTGCTGGGGAGGACTGATAGAACTGAATGTGCAGGGCTCCAAGGGCATGGTGTGTGGTTACAGGAATAAGCAGTTCGGTTTCAGTATAAATAGCTATCCCCAGAGCCTTGCAAAGATGGAACTGGCTGCCTTGTTCAGTAGTGAGCTCCCCACCACTGGAGCTGTGAAGGCAGAAGCCGGGGTGGGGAGGGCGACTATAAAGAGGATTCCTGTGTTGGTTAGCAGACTAGACCAGGGTCAGTGAGCTTTTTCTATAAAGGGCCAGATAGTAAATACTTGTGGCTTCGTGAACCAGATGGTCTCTGCTGCAACTACCCAGTTCTGCCATTATAGCACAAAAGCAGCTACATAGGCCATAGGTAAATGAATGAGAATGACTGTGCATAAATAAAAATATTTATGGGCAATGAAATTTGAATTTCACGTAATTTTCACATATCATGAAATATTATTCTTCTTCAGCTTTTTTTTTTCCCAACTATTTAAAAATATAAAGACCATCTGTAGCTCGAGTACCATACAAAACAGACTGAATTTGGCATATGGGTTCATAGTTTGCTGACTTCTGAATCGGAGCAGCTGGCCAGAGGCAGAATGATGGAGCACACTGTTCCTCAAAGTGGGGTACCAGAGCACCCACACTGGGGATGCTTGAGGGTGCTTATCCCCACAGTGTGCCCATGTGAGCCCTAATATCTTGAAGCTTCTGTTTCCTGATCCGTAAGTACAGGACCCACATTAGATCCCCAAGTTTCTGTCTTGAGGATGACAGAGCTTTGTCTAGAAAGGGCTTTGTATCAGCTGTACACATATTAGTAGAGCCCAGGGTGAGCTTGAGTCAGACTGAATGGTCTGAGTCCTGGTTCAGTCCTCAACAGCTTTGTTACCAGGAGCAAGTTACTTAACCTCTCTGTTCTTCAATGTCCTCGTCTGTACAATGAGGATAATAATAGCACCTATCAGATAGGGCTGTCGTGTTGTTGTGCTATAAAGCACTTCCTGCCAGACAGGAAGTCTCTGTAATTATTAGCTGTTGTGATTTTTCACTGGTGTTATCATTCCTGGGACCCAGTCTAAGTTAGTAGCCAAGCTAAGTGCCAGCCCAAGATTCTGACTCCAGTGCAGCCTTTGTGATGGTCTTTGTGTCCCTGGCAAATGAGCGGTCACTGGCTGGGTGGCCACCACATTCACAGACAGGTCAGGTTTCAGGCTGTGGGGAGGAGCAGATTCTTACTTGGAAATTAAGGCCTTTGCCTTCCCCTATGGATAGAACTGGTGAATAGGTTTTATTCCCTTAGTGAGCTCAAAGAAATAAGAGTATAGTCCCAGACTTCCACTCTTCTGGTTTTAGAAAAAAAAAAACCCAAACCCTCAGTGTCTCCTAATTAGCTTGAGGCCATCACCCCATGAGAAGCAGGGGGATTCAGGACAGTTTAACTCTTTACTGCCTTACTAAGGAGATCTTGATCTAGGCCAGTGCCCTCCAAACTTCTGTCTTTCATGTAGCTCATTTGTGATTTGTGTCTACCCCCATGCCACCTTCATTATTATTTTCGTAGGGTTTTCTTTTCATTAGCTTATCTGTTAAAATTTGACCTCATCCTATATAATTATATCCATGAAATCATGGCTTTGATGTTCGTGTTTTTTTCCTATCCTGCATTAAAGTAAATAATGCAGGAGAGGAAAAATTTAATGTCCCTCTAAAAATGTCTTTAAGTTTGCCCATGAGCCCACCTGGCATGATCCCAGGTAGCTCATTTTGATCACTGGGACGTAAGCAGCCTGAAATGGGGTCACAGCTTAGTCTCCGCATCAGAAGAGCTGGGTTCAGGTGCCAGCTCCGCCCCTTCCCGGCTGTGTCCCCCAGGTCTCCTCCTCAAGGGACACGGGAAACTTAGAAGTTGATAGAGCACTGCAAAGTGCGGTGGAGAACCACTGTGCAAGCCCTGAGGAGGGGAACTGGGCCTCGCTCCTGCTGGGGAAGGTAGAGAAGGGAAGGACGGAGCCTGGAGTCTTCCCAGAAGGGAAGGACGGAGCCAGGGGAGAAGGGAGGGGGAGAGAAGAACCAGCCAGACCACAGGGGCTGAGACAGACAGAGAATTTAGGGACAGACAGAGGGGTCTACTGTTTGAACTTGTTTGTGTTGGTGCAGTATAAACCCTGTAGTGGTTAACTTTATGTGTCAACTTGGCTAGGCCAGGGGAGAAAGATAGTTGGTCAAACATTATTTTAGATGTTTCTGTGAACGTATGCCTTAGATGAGATTAACATTTAAATCACCAGACCCGCGTAAAGCGTATTGCCCTCAATAACATGGGTGGGCCTCGTCCAATCAGTTGAAGGCCTGAATAGGAAAAAGACTGACCTCCCCAGAACAAGAGGGAACTTGGCCAGCAGGCTCCCCTTGTCCTTGCACTTGGACAGCATCTGTTTCCTGGATCTCCAGCCTGCCAGCTCACCCTACAGATTTTCAACTTGCTAAGCCTTCACACCTGCATAAGCCAATTCCTTAAGCGCTCGCTCTTTCTCCTGTGTGTGTGTGTGTGTCTGTCTCTCTCTCTCTCTCTTTCTTTCTGCTAGTTCCTTTTCTCTTTTTTTTTTTTTTTCTTTTTTTTTTGAGACGGAGTCTCACTCTGTTTCCCAGGCTGGAGTGCAGTGGGGCAGTCTTGGCTCACTGTAACCTCCACCTCCCAGGTTTAAGCAATTCTCCTGCCTCAGCCTCCTGAGTAGCTGGGACTACAGGCGCGTGCCACCACACCTGGCTAATTTTTATATTTTTTGTAGAGGCAGAGTTTCACCATGTTGGCCAGGCTGGTCTTGAACTCCTGACCTCGTGATCCTCCCGCCTTGGCCTCTCAAAGTGCTAGGATTACGGGCATGAGCTACCACAGCCAGCCTAGTTCCTTTTCTCTAGAGATCCCTGACTAATACAAAGCCCACTCCACCCCTGACCATCCAGATTGTCAGCAATACCTTTTACACTCCCAAGTGGGGAGTGAAAACAAATGCCATCTGTACCTCAGCCAGCCACTTCAAGCCTCTGCCTTCACAGCCTCACTTCTTACCTGGGGAGTTTTAGAAAACCTTTCTTTATCTCACTGACATTTCCTTTTGTTAGGTACTATAGTTAGTTACATCGACTTTAACATTGTGGGTTGCGGAAGCAATACCCTCTGTAAGGTATTTTAGGGTTTCTCTTGTGGTTTATGGTTAAAAAAAATACAGGGGAGAGGCAGCCAGGGTTTTGAGGAAGGGTGGCTCAGCAAATTAGGAGATGGATGGAACTTTCCACGCTGGGTCTGGAAAGAGTTATTCCTTTGGAAAATAGTTTTCAAGACAAGTTTCTGGCTGAAAAAAAAATAGCTTCTGCATATTTGTGATTTAAAAATCTCTTATGGGGTGCTTGAAATTCTCAATCATGTTGTGGTTGATATGTTTGTAGAGGATAGCATTTATTTTGGTGCTTGAAATGTATACACTCCTCCTCACACATCCCTGGAAGGTGAGTGCTTTGGTCATCTTTATTCTGTAGAGGAGGAACTGAGGCACAGAGAGGCCGAGGAGTTACCCAGGCTCACACAGCTGGTAGGTGCTGGAGTCTGGGCAGGATTTGTCTGTGTCTGCATCCCATCCTCCCAACTTTTCCATCTCACCGATTCCCCCTTAGAACTGAAAGAGGCCAGGCGCAGTGGCTCACACCTGTAATCCCAGCACTTTGGGAGGCCAAGACAGGCAGATCGCCTGAGGTCAGGAGTTCAAGACCAGCCTGGCCAACATGGTAAAACCCCATCTTTACTAAAAATACAAACATTAGCTGGATGTGGTGGTGGGCGCCTGTAATCCCAGCTACCCTGGAGGCTGAGACAGGAGAATCGCTTGAACCGGTGAGGCGGAAGTTGCAGTGAGCCAAGATCGTGCCACAGCACTCCAGCCTGGGCAACAGAGTGAGACTCCATCTCAAAAAAAAAAAAAAAAAGAGAGAGAACTGAGAGACCTGCTGGGTTTCCCTTTGAGTGACAACATCTGTGTCCATCTAGAATGAATTCGTTCAGTAGTGGCTTCTTCTGTATTTCTGCCTAACCTTCTTGACCACATTGGTTTCATCCTCGTGCTTGCATTCTCACGGTAGGAAGCACAGGTGAAAGTACCAACTGTCTGTGTCTCTGTTACCAAGAAAGCAAAACCTTCCCCAGGAGCCGCCCAAGAGACACCCGCTTCCATCTCTGTGGCCAGAAGTCCCAGGGCTACTTCTGGCTGCAAGGGGGTCTAGAAAAGCTAAATGCTGTGAGCCCAGGGGGAGCATCTTCCACAACTATTGGAGTCAGCTCCACATGGTAGGGTTAATAAAAATTTCACATAGTCACTGAGTACAGTAATAGAAATACAGTATCTAGCAAGGACAGGTAAATGTGGCGTGTGGGTTCCCACACTGCATTTCCAGATGGACAGCATGGCTGGCCTATATCCAGAGGGGTCGGTCAGAATAGGGTGAAGGCTCTGGAGATCATTATCAGAGTGGAGTGGTCACAGGTCCTGAGGATGTTGGAGGACAGATTAAGGAGGGACGTGGTACTTTTTAAAAGTATTCAAAGGGTCACGGTGGCTCACGCCTGTAATCCCAGCACTTTGGGAGGCCAAGACGGGTGGATCACGAGGTCAAGAGATCGAGACCATCCTGGCCAATGTGGTGAAACCCTGTCTCTACTAAAAATACAAAAATTAGCTGGGCATGGTGGCACACGCCTGTAGTCCCAGCTACTCGGGAGGCCGAGTGAGGCAGGTGAACTTCAACCCAGTAGTTGGAGGTTGCAGTGAGCCGAGATCGTGCCACTGCACTCCAGCCTGGGCAACAGTGAGACTCTGTCTCAAAAAAAAAATGTATTCAGAGGATTGCAAGTTGGAAGAAGGATTAGGATTTCCACACAATAGCTAGTAAGGGATCAATGAGTGCCCAAGTGTGGAGGTGTTTCATTTACACTGTTATAAAGGTTTATTGTGCTGGTGAATACAGCCTCATCTTTCATTCAGTCATTCAGCAAACAGGTACTGCAGGTTTATCATGGCCCAGGTCCCATCTGGGGTAGACAGTTAGTCCATTTGTGAGCTATAACCGCCACCCTTAAAGAGCTCACAGACTCCTGGGAGAGAGAGATGTAGAAACAAAGAGATCGCCCAACAGAGTTATTTTAATCACTCCACTAAGCAGTGCTTAGAGTTGTGGTCTGTGGAAAATGCTACTGGCTGCTAGCTGGAAGGAATAGGCCCTGGCGGGGTGGGGGGTGTCAGGGCAGACTCCACCAGGAGACCTGACCTTTGATCTGGGCTTAGGAGCACGAGTTGAGGTGGGGAGGAGCACATTTCTTCCTGGAAGAAGGGCAGTGTGTTCAGAAGCACAGAAGCCTGAGGAGGGTGATGGGGTGGCTGCGGGCGATCAGCTGAGCTGGTGAGTGGGAGTGGGAGGAAGGACTGGGCCAGGTCTCAGTGCCGGCTCCCGAGGGCTTCAGTGGAGCCCGGTGCCTTCAGGTCCATGCCGTAGTTGTCCACCGCGGAGCAGTCCCGTGGGAAGGCCAGGGCAGCTGGACCTCACTCCTTAAAGAGGAATATTAATCACGAATACTTTGAGCTGCAGGTAACAGGAAACGCAACCAGCAGAGTCTGAAACCACCACAACAACGCACTTTGTTTACCTAGCAAGAAGCCTGAAGGTTGGCAGTTTCAGGGTGGGTTTGACAGCTCCACGATGTCTCAAAACAGCCAGACTCTTTCTTGTTCTGTCCTTAGCCTGGTGGCTAATCAGTGAAATACAGTGATTGTTGTTCTGGGAAGGCAGGGTAGGCAGGGGCAGTCAGCATCGAACTGAGCACCTAGGCAGTGCAGAGCCTCAGTCGGTCATTCCAAAAGTATGTAATGCCCCCCTCTGCTCTGTTGCACCAGAAGGTGGGCCCCAGAAGGTCTGCCCCAGGCAGGCAGAGGCAGTCTTCACAGGGACAGAGCAGAGTGGAGAGCACACAAGTTTGGAGCACGCAGGCCTGGCTTTGCATCTAGCAAGTCACAAACCTCTGCACATTGGCTGCCCCCACGACAGTTGGGGATGTGGGGAGGTGACACAAATGGAGGTCCTCCGAGCATCCTGCACAGGCTGACACTTCTTCACTGAATGATGGCTGTCATTGTTCTCCATGATGTTGTTATTGTCATGGTGCAGGATGAGGAGTGACACGGTCTACCCAGAAGGAGGCACCACTGAGGAGCCAACCCTGGGTGGGGCTTAGAAGATGAGGGGAGTTCGGCTGGGCACGGTGGCTCACGCCTGTAATCCCAGCACTTTGGGAGGCCGAGGCGGGTGGATCACAAGGTCAGGAGTTCAAGACCAGCCTGGCCAAGGTGGTGAAACCTCATCTCTACTAAAAATACAAAAAAAAATTAGGCGGGCGCCTGTAATCCCAGCTACTTTGGGGGCTGAGGCAGAGAATTGCTTAAACCCAGGAGACGGAAGTTGCAGTGAGCCGAGATCGCACCACTGTACTCCAGCCTGGGCGACAGAACAAGACTCCGTCTCAAAAAAAAAAAAAAAAGACAAGGGGAGTTCAGGAGTTCAGCTGACTCATTCCTCCTCTTCATCAGCACACCTGGCACTGTCTCAGCACCTGGTCTTTCCTGCCATGGAAACGACCTTTTGGAATTGTCAGTTGTGGCCTCCCACTGGACTGTAAACCACCACTGGGGCAGGACCTTGCTGGATTTGCTCACTGACGTCTCCCTGTAGCCTGGACAGGTGTTGAGAATGTTTGAGAAGCACATAGCATCGTGGTTATGAATATGGACTTGAGAACCAGACTTCTCTGGCTTTGAATCTGCTGTGCATCTCACAAACTGTGTGACTGCAGGCAAATTGCTGCCTTCTCCATGCCCCTGAGTTTATTCATCCTCTGTCTTAAAGGTTGTGGTGACGGGTGACTGAGGGTGTGACGTGCTTATTAGTCCCATGCCTGGTGCATGCTGAGTGCCAGATGAGCATGTGAACTGGATGAGCCTGACTGAATGAGGAATGGCATTGCAGACAGAAGCTCAGAGGCGTGAGAGGGCAAGCCACATAGAGGAAGGGGGTACAGCTGACTGTGGCTGACGCCAGCCCCTGGAGAGTTCAGGCTTTTGATCCTCAGGCAGTGAGGGTGATGGACAATGTTTAAACAGAGGAAGTTGTGCTTGGAGTTATGTTTGAGTAGAGCGTGGAGGTGACAGTGCAGGCCTGGGGAGGTGGCAGCTTGAGCCAGAGCTGTCTCAGTGATCATGAGACTGTTGGAATGTGCAGGATGGGAGCGAGCGGGCTCCAGGCTGCTTCCCAGAAGGCTGGTGTGGAAAGGGGTGATACTGGCCGGACACAGTGGGCAGTGGCTCACACCTGTAATCCCAGCACTTTGGGAGGCCAAGGCGGGTGGATCACTTGAGGTCAGGAGTTCGAGACCAGCCTGACCAACATGGTGAAGCCCCATCTCTACTAAAAATACAAAACTTAGCCAGGTGTGTTGGCAGGTACCTGTAATCCCAGCTACTCGGGAGGCTGAGGCAGGAGAATCGCTTAAACCCGGGAGGCAGAGGTTGCAGTGAGCCAAGATCGTGCCACTGTACTCCAACCTGGGTGACAGAACGAGACTGTCTCAAAAAAAAAAAAGAAAGAAAGGGGTGATACCATACCATGGCCCCCATCTCTGATCCTGCCCGTGGTGTGGCGTGTCTTTGGTGACTACTCATTCTTTCTCTTGGCCCAAGTCATAGTCATTGTAGCTCGGTTACTCATTGCTAGCCTTTCCTGATGTCATACTGACATTGTCTGGCTGCAAGGTCACAACATCCTGTGAGGCAGGCAGTCTTATCCTGATTTTACGGGTGCAAAAACAGAGACTCAGAGGGGCTGGATCTTTGCCCACATTCTATGAGTTAGGTCAGGCCAGACTCGTCCCACTCCACCCTCATCTCCATGAGGGGCAGGTGGGTCTTGCCATCATGCCAGGCAGATTATCTGGAGCCCTCCAGGGAGGTGGTATCTGCACCAGACCCAATAGGGAGAGGACAGACTGCTGTAAGGACGCACAGGTGCCCAGTGATCCGAAGCCACAGGCTTGCCAGCCATAAACAACTGCAAAGCCGCCTGATGACAGGTGGAGGATTGCAGGGCCCGGTTCTGTCAGGAGCTGGAAGACAAGAGCACAGCTGCTACCCGGAGGCCCTTGAAGGTTACAGCTCCGAGGTCGGGGAATCAGTTGTCATTCTCTTGGTAACTGGCAACCACTGTCCGTGTTTTTATTCCCCCTTCTTAAAATAGCAAGCTGAATTACTTCTGTGGTGAAGAACAAAAACAAAGCAAATATTGCCAGGTTCCTGTGGGTTTAAAATTCTGCCCTGATGGAATATGCCTACCCTGTGGGCATCTGAAGGAAATCCACATGATTCACCGCAATCCTGTTGTCCACACCTGGACCTGGAGGAACCTGGAGGAACCTAGAAGGGGTTGGCAAGTGATGGTCTGGGCAGATGTCCCACAGCCTCCCAACAGCTGTCTTGTACTGGAATTGCTCAGATCTGCCTTGTCCCGATTTTGTCTCCTCCTCCTCTTCCTCTCCCCTTTCTCGTTTAGGCCACATATCCCCTCCCACCCCGCAGAAAACCTCCGTCTTCTGATTGGCTCTGCCCACTACTGCCTGCTGCCACTCATGGCTCAGGAGCTTGCCTGCACTGCTTGGGTCACATCAGACTCATGCACGGGGTGGGGGCGGGGGGTCCTTCTGCTCCCACCTGATTGCCGGGTATGGGATTTCTCTTATTTATCAATGTCCCCGCTTCCCTTTAAAAGCCACTTACTTGCCTTTCCAAAACAACCACAGCCTCTCCTGAAACACTGATGTTCCCTCCTCCAGGAGATGAGAGGTGCCCATCGTTTTCAGGGGGTACTGGGGACAGAAGAGGATCTGATGGTGGGGACCACTGAGAGGCCTGCCGGTGGAGCTCAGGGAGGAGAGGGCCAACTCCCTGTGTGGTCAGGAAGGACACTTCTGGGAAAACAGTGTTCCCCGCCCCTGCTGAGAGATGCGGATGGCACAGAAGCCTCAGGCACCTGCGCCACAGCGTCAGCGGCTGCCCCGCCCTTACCTCTGTGTGCCCTTTGCAAGTTGGTGATCTCTCTGTGCTTCAGTTTCCTCATGAGATGAGGGCAATAATGCACACCTTACAGTGTGTTAAAATTAAATCTCATTCTTCATGTGAACAGCTAATGCTGCTTGATATTCTATGGCATATAACTTGGGAAGTTAAAATATTATTATTGTGGAAGGGCATGCAGGCCAGGTCGAAGACTAGGGAGACACGGAAGGATTTGGGCAGGAAGGACACTGTCATTTTCAGGTTTCAGAAAGTTCCTTCTGGACAGTGTGGAGAATGGGTGGGAGGAGGGAGGCAGGAGGAGGGAAGAAGCTGAGGCGGTAGTCTAGCGGGAGGATGGTGGCCGGGCTGGGGCAGGGGCAGTGGCAGAGGGGATGGTGTGATGGACAGAGATTTGGGAGCTGACTTGGCAGGACTTCGTGGCCTTTAGGTGTGGCTAGGGAGGGAGATGACACTAATCCTCTGGCCTGTGTGACTGGGGCTTGCTGAGATGTGGCCTGTGGCAGAGGAGCAGGTTCTGTAGGTTAACACTGACTGACATGACTAACCCCCGCCCCAAAACCCTCCAAAGCAGGGCACGGCCCTCTGCTCAGAGGGACACTTGTTTGGCCCGCTCTGTTCTTCCCAGGTGGCTCTATAAGTGTGGAACCCCCAAGGGCAGGGGTGTGGTACAAAGAAGCCACACTCAGTAAACCTTCACAGGATGGACAACTCTGTCTCTCAGCCCTGTCAGAGGAGCTTTCCTCATCCCCTCCTCCAGGCCTGATCTAGGGGTAAAGCAACCGCCCTCTGCCTCAGCCGCCTGGCATGTGTCCTGGGCCACCCTGGCATCCGTCTGGCTCAGGACCTGAGGGTAGAACTGAAGTTGGGCCAATTGCAAAACCAAGGTCTCAGAGCCACAGTTTTAGTGTTGGTTGAGCCAGCCTGGCTAGAAGAGGGCCCTGTCCAGTCCCGCAGAAACTGCCCTCCTCTGTCCTCCGGCAGACTGGGTTTAGCAGGCACTGTGGCTTCTTTTGGGCACCTTAAAGCAGGGACCATGCCCACCGAGTCCACCATGGTATCCCAGTGCCTGGAACCGGCTTGGCTTACAAATAGCCGTGTAGCAAGCGAAGAGTCACCCACCCTCCCCGAGCCGGGGCACAGCCGTGAGGAGAGAGCCTCCCTTGCAGGACAGCGTGACATCACGTGGAATAACAAGTTCTACATGCCTACTCTGGCACACACTCCTGACAGATAATAGACAGCCGGCAGCACTGTGCTCAAGTGCCTGGCCCATCAGCCAGCAGGTGTGCCAAGGCCGGCAGGGTGGCTGCAGCAGGCGGATGAGTACTTTGCATGTGACACTTGCAGGGGAGGGAACCTTGGGTAGTGCCCTGTGTCAGAACAGGGTCTCACCCTTAAAAGGCGGAGCAAAGCCTGTCTTATCACACAGTCCTCCATGTAGTCACAATACATACCAGCCAGAGTGATGTGTGTAATGGAACGTTACCTGCAAGAAACAGGGCACAAAATTTCCTGTGTGCACGTGGTTGACGCGTGAAGATAGCATCTAGGAAGGCGCAGAGAACAGAAAACAGGCCATGCGGCACCTCCCTTTCCTAAAGACCGTTTACAAAGGTGCTGGCATTGCGAGTTCCTGCGTTCATCATTCATGTAATACCAATTAGTGCCTCCCACACTACAGTTCACAAAAGGCTGCCAAGCCCGGTGCTTGCTACCATGCAGACCTGCAGCCAGTGGTCCCGGCCATGGCCCTGACAGGCTTCCAGAACTCTGCAGCCGACTCCCGGCCTGGAAATCTTACCCTAGGAACTGCCACAAAGTGAAAATTTCGTGGAACTGAATAGAGGTGGTGGTGGTTGTATTCAGTATTACAGGTGTACCAAATGCCACTGAATTATACATGGTAAAATGGTTAGTTTTATTTTATGTGACTTTCGCCTCAACTTTTTTTAAAAAGAACCACCACCACTTGCTGAGTGTTTATTTTGGGCCCGTACCGTGCTGATACCTTGCCGTGCTGATACCTTACTGTGCTGGTACCTTGCATGAATCATCACCTCTCTTTGGGGTAGTTCTGCTGGGTGGCTCGGCATCGGTCCCTTCTGTGGGTGCCTCAGAAGGGTACAGGAGGGCCAGGTGACCTGTTAGTAATGGAGCGTTTGCTTCCTAGGTAAAGAAGCTCTCTGTGAGATTCTAGAGGAACCTGGTTACAGGGGATGCCTCTAGGAAGAGGGGGCTGGGGCAGGGGACAGAGATAGATTTACCTAGCTCCATTGTATACCACTTGAGAACTTTTACATTTTGTATCCTGTGAATGGTTACCAACTCAAAAGATAATTCTTTTTTGCTTGTTTGTTTGTTTGTTTTGGAGATGGAGTTTCGCTCTCGTTGTCCAGGCTGGAGTGTGATGGCTCAATCTCTTTGCAACCTCCGCCTCCTGGGATCAAACGATTCTCCTGCCTCAGCCTCCCAAGTAGCCAGGATTACAGGCATGTGCCACCATGCCCAGCTACTTTTTTGTAGTTAGTAAAGACGGGGCTTCACCATGTTGGTCAGGCTGGTCTCAACTCCTGACCTCAGGTGATCCACCCACCTCAGCCTCCCAAAGTGCTGGGATTACAGGCGTGAGCCACCGCGCCCAGCTCAAAAGATAATTCTAAAGTCAAGGGAGAACATCTTATCTACAGAAATGAAGCAAAGCACTGTCTCCATATTGTCATGTCAGGAATAAGCACACGGAGGCCCACCTAGATTCCCCTCTGGTGCATCCCTTTGGTGCACTCAGAGTCATGGTTTCCTCATCCATTGAAGAGCAGAGGTACTCCGGCCTCAGTGGCTACAAGAATCTAGTGACGATGGGACAATGTGTATAGAGCAGTCTCACACAGGGCCAGGCCCTGTGCCCAGGAAGTGTCTGTCATCTTCCTCCTCCCCATCTCATCCGGCCCTGCACCCCCCTCCTCTCCCACCCACGGTTTGAGTTTACCCATTCAGGACCCCCTCATGACTTTATGACTCCTGGTTTCTTCTCAGAGAAAGCCACAGATGGCTCCCTGCAGAGCGAGGACTGGGCCCTCAACATGGAGATCTGCGACATCATCAACGAGACGGAGGAAGGGTAAGGGCCCCCCAAGGAGAGGTTGGGGGCAGAGACGGCCATCCCACCACGCAGCACACTCCTGCACCCTTCCAGGGAGCCCCTGCCCCAGCCCCATTGCTGCCATAGCCACCAAGTCTGACCCAACCCGCTTGGCTGCAGAGGCCATCTGAGCCCCTAGTACCTGAGCCCCATCCAAGGTAGGAATTCACAGCTGGCCCCTGGGGGCTGCCACCCCACCCCGCCTCTCTTAGTGGCAGCCCAGATTCCACACGGATCTGGAAGCCCAGCCTTGTGTGCAGCATCTGCCTAGGATGAGGCAAGCTGGAGACTCTTAATCAGAAGTTGACCCCAAGCGCCATCTGCATTCTGCAGGCGGGAGTGTGTACTAGAGAGACTCCGGCTTTTCTGCGAGCAAAAACAGACTTCCATTTCCTTAAGATTTGAAACCAGCCTGGAGGGTAAGGGAGATCACAAGGATGGCAGGGAAAGTGAAGCTGAACCGTGAGCCTGAACAGCACTGGCGTTTGCCGGGCGTTTCTGGTGTTGGGGTCACGGTATCGTCTTGCTCAGTGCCAAGGAGCCCTGCCAAGGCACATGGTGTGGGGGAAGGATTGGGGTCTTGGCCTCCAATGTCTGACTCGTTGTCACTGACCAGCCGTGTGACCTTCGGAAGTCACTTTACCTCTCTAGGTCTTTGTCCTCGAAGGTGCTCTGTTAGATCCTTCCAGCAATAAGCCCGAGTCCCTGGAGGGAGCAGAAAGGGGATGCGAGGGTCCCTGTCCTCTCAGGAAAACCCAGCGAAGGCTGGGCAGAGGTGTGGGAGCCGTGGGCAGCAGGAAGTGCTGCCAGACGAGGCCTCCATCCTGAGAAATCAGTGTGGACCCTCCTTTCCCTCTCCAGTTCTCACTGGGATCATCCAGCTCTCCCGCGGCCAGTGCAGGGTTCCTCTCAGCCCGGGAGGGCTTTGCGTGGAGAGGCGCAGGCTGGATGCAGGTGGAGGGCAGGGAGTGCCCAGCTCTGAGCTGGAGGGAGGCTGTGGGCATCTGAGTCACACAGTCAAGGCCCAGTCAGGAGAGGGCAGTGGCTGCCAGGAACCTGCCGGTGTCTTCCTCAGCCCTGCTCCCTGATCTTGCCAAGGACTCATGAGAGTGAGGGTGAGGGAAGGAGTGGTGGGCAGAGGTCAGAAGAAAGAAAGCAGGAGGCAGAAAACCTCACCAAGCCTCTAGACAGGCCTGGGAGCTTCATGGACGTCGCAGCTGCAAGTCACTGCAGTATCCTTGGGGACAGCAAGCCCCCATGTCCCTTATAAACATGGGAGGAACAGGCTCGGCGTCGGTCAGGTGCATTGCTATTTATTTGAGCACTTTGTGTGTTCCAGGCAACACAGGAGGCACTAGGGACCCAGCAGTGATCAAAGGCAGGCATGACCCTTGACCTCACCAAGCATGGCACCTAAACTTAGCCTCGTTGCTAAAGTGTCTCCCCCACTGGGTTGTGGCCTCCTTGTCATACACTTTGTGCTCCCAGCAGAGTACCGGACATCATGGGCCCACAGCAGTGGCAAGGCCAGAACTTCCGATTCCCAGTGCTTCCCTCTAGGGAGAGAAGGCGTCCAACAAGGACGCTGTCCCTGCGCTCTAGGAGGCTTCTTCTCTCCCAGGGTGGGCCCCCAGGTCAGTGGCGCATGGCGGAACATGCCAGGGAATGATTCTGATTCCCTTGTGTCTAGGCCACCCTAGAAGAGGTGGAAAGAAGTCACTATAAAGCGCTGAAGTAGCCCGTGGGTCAGTGGCCAGGCCAAGACCAGGAGCCAGGGACGGGCGAGGGGCTGCCCAGGGAGGCAAGGGTTGGAAACTGCTCTCAGGCTTCTGGGCCAGGACCCCCCTTGGTGGGCCACCATCCCTTTCCCCACCGTGTCCCTTCCACCGCAGGCCTGACCGCCTCCATAGCTCTAGCCCCCAGGCAGGCTCTGTCCCTAGGAAGCCTTGCCTCTGCCTTCACTCCTGCTGAGAACCAGTGCCAGGGTTCCAGGCTCTCCTGCCTTAGTCCTGGATGGGGTCAGCACTGACAGCCAGGCAGACAGCCGGATGGGTCCCAGTGGCCACTGGCCAGGCTGAGAAATGTTACTTGTGCTTCAGTAGTGTGATGGGCTCTAGGAAGGGAAGCTGTCCAAAGAGAACACCATCCCTGCCCTCTAGCAAGCTTCTTCTCTACCCAGGGTGGGCCCCCAGTTCAATGTGGCATGGCAGAACAGGCCAGGGAGACTGGAGGACCTGGGAAAGTGTTGTGGAAGGGGTGGATTTTAGCTGAGGCTTCACCTCATGGATGTGGAGGTCAGGAGCCTTCAGGGTGCAAGTGGGGGCCCTGCACAAAGGCTTTTAGACAAGAGCAGTCAGGGCAGCACTGAGTATACCTGTATAGGGCCGAGGGTGGAGGATGGTGGGAATCACAGAGGGGACAGGGAGAGCAGGCTGGCACCCCAGCTTCCAGGGGCCTCCCAACACCGTGACCCCTAGGCTTCTTCAGCCCTCCCCGACCTCCCCCACACTCAGTGTGGCCTCCTCTTAGTTCCTCCAAGGCATCAAGCTCCTCTGCACCCAAGACCTTGGTCCAGGCTCTGACCTTGACCCAAACTGCTCTGCCCCCACTCCCCCCAGGTGGTCCTTCCCATCTTTCAAGGCCCAACTACAAGACCACCCCCTCGGAGGTCTTTTCTGACCACCCCCATCCTCACCTCTGCTCTTTTTCCAGGACCTGCTTATTCCTTGCTCTTCTTTGGATCTCCCCGCAAGGTGGGGAGGAGGCAGGGCCATATGGTCTTGTTTGCCACTGTGTCCCCAGCACCTAGCATGGTGCTACATACATATTGGGTGCTTAATAAGAGTTGAATGGGCCAGACATGGTGGCTCACACTGGTAGTCTCAGCGTTTTGGGAGGCTGAGGCAGGAGGATCACTTGAGCCCAGGAGTTCCGGGCTACAGCGAGCTGTGATTGCACCACTGCACTCCAGCCTGGGCGACAGAGTGAGACTCTGTCTCAGAAGGAAAAAAAAAAAAAACTTGAATGGAAGGGTAAATGGACAGATAGAGCAGCTGGCCAGGACGGGGCATCAGAACACTATGCTAGCTGGGCTCAGGGACTCATGCCTGTAATCACAACATATTGGGAGGCCGAGGTGGGAGAATCATTTGAGCCCAGGAGTTTGAGACCAGCCTGGGCAACATAGCAAGACCCCATCTCTATTTTTGTAATGAAAACATTATGCCTCCAGGTTATTTGTTCTTAAACTTGAGCATGCATAAGAAACCCTTGGGGAGCATGAGAAGCATTCAGATTCAGGGGCCCCACTCCCTGAGAATTTGGTTCAGGTGGTCTAGGGTGGGGACCTAGGGTTCTGCTTTTTTTTTTTGAATGTCCTTTGTTTTTTTGAGACAGGGTCTCACTCTGTCGCCCAGGCTGGAGTACAGTGGCGCAATCTCGGCTCTCACTCTGTTGCCCAGGCTGGAGTACAGTGGCGTAATCTCGGCTCACTGCAACCTCTGCCTCCTGGGTTCAAGCGATTCTCCCGCCTCAACCTCCCAAGTAGCTGGGATTACAGGGTCATACCACCACGCCCGGCAAATTTTTGTATTTTTAGTAGAGACAGGGTTTCACCATGTTGGCCAGGCTGGTCTTGAACTCCTGGCCTCAAGTGATCCACCTGCCTCAGCCTCCCAAAGTCCTGGGATTACAGGCATGAGCCACCGCGCCCGGCCAGGTTCTGCACTTTTAACAAAACGCTCTCATCTTTTCTCAAAGTGACTCTGCTGCTGGAGGTCCAGGGGCCACAGGTTGTGAGTCCCTGCTAAGCAATGGGCTAGGAAGATTCTGATGTGATCAGAACCTGGCTGGATACACAAAACAGGTGGGGCACAGGGAGGATGGGCCAATAAGAACTGTTCCAACTCTCCAGGGTCTCTGGTGTTAGGTAAGGGGGCTCTATTCCTAAGCCCACCCTTTTTCTTGTCCTCCTTAGTCCCAAAGATGCCCTCCGAGCAGTAAAGAAGAGAATCGTGGGGAATAAGAACTTCCACGAGGTGATGCTGGCTCTCACAGTGAGTGCCCCATCTGTCTGTCCTGTGGCAGGACTACGGTCCACTGAAAGTCACCTCCCCTCAGACCCAGCAGGACTCCCAGCCTCCTCTGAGCTCCTCATTTGAGAGCTGGAAAGGTCTGTAGGCAACGCACTGTCCTGTCTACACTGCAGGCGGATGCAGAATGGCAAGAGGCCATTTGGAAAGGTTCTCCCCAATCCCCCAGCATGGGAACAGACGCTTACATCACTCCAGAACCACTGGCAGGGAGAGCCTGGGCCAAAGGACCTGTGGGTGACATTGAAGCTCAGTAAACCCAGGCCTCCGCGGGGGCAGGGAGGCCGGCTGACTGAGTTGGGTGCTGCTCGGCACTTTGGTGCTCTGGCAAATGAATGTAAAATAAATACCAGTGGCTGAGAACAGTCTTGCCCACACCACTGAACCAGCCCAGATCTCAGGGCGGCCAGACACACGTGGGCCTCCTAGCCGTCAGCATGGGTTTGGCTGGGGAAGATATAAATGCTGTCCCACCCTCCTCCACAAGCAGCATTTATATCCAGGTGAATTGGCTTAAGCAAAAAGCAAAGGCAATTCCTGCAGTGGGAAGTGGAGAGTGGGGAGGGAAGTTCAGTGCCTTTTCCCTGGGCCACAGGCTCACCAGTCGATTGACATCTCAGATGCTCCTTGATTTCCTCTTGGAGAGCCCCTTCTCTCTAGACCATGTTTAGCTCAGAGACAGCATTGGGATTCTGCGTGCACTGACGCCAGTCAGGGAAGGAAGTCCAGCCCACACACCATACCTCTGCCCACCCTAGGCCGTGCCCTCCAGTAAACAAGTCCCCCAGTCCTGGCATTGTCCCAGTCCTCCACATTCAAGGGTCTCACTCCAGGAAGTCCCATCTCCTCTCCCGGGCCTCCTCTCTGGGACACAGGAGGAGCCACGAGGGTGGGGGTTCTGAGCACCTCCTCTCCTCTGACCAAGGTGCTCGACGGCACCTCTCGGCCCTCCAGGTCTTAGAAACCTGTGTCAAGAACTGCGGGCACCGCTTCCACGTGCTGGTGGCCAGCCAGGACTTCGTGGAGAGTGTGCTGGTGAGGACCATCCTGCCCAAGAACAACCCACCCACCATCGTGCATGACAAAGTGCTCAACCTCATCCAGGTGAGTGCCAGGACAGGGCAGGGCACGGCCAGGAAGAGCTGTCAGTGCAGGAGCTTCCTGCCCAGTGGAGAGTCGAGGCCATCGTGTTTGTCCCAGGCTCCGCTTCTCATTTCGGGGCGTCTCGGTTGTCGGCTGGTGGGATGTTCTGTGGGGAGGGAGGCTTGCCAACTGCGTGCTTTGCTGTGGAGTGGGCAGGGCAGATGTAGTTAAAAAAAAAAAAAAAGCAGGGAAAGAATGTCTGTTCTCTGTCTGAGTGCCAGGTGGGCAGGCTCACAGGTGAGCTGTGGTTACCGGCTGTGTCCCCTTGTCCCCTCTCAGTCCTGGGCTGACGCGTTCCGCAGCTCGCCCGATCTGACAGGTGTGGTCACCATCTATGAGGACCTGCGGAGGAAAGGCCTGGAGTTCCCCATGACTGACCTGGACATGCTGTCACCCATCCACACACCCCAGAGGGTGAGAGAACTGCCGTACCGGGAACCAAGGGAAGGGAGGCAGGACTCATCCCCAGAGACATCACCAGGCTGGCCCCTGACTTCCTGGGCTCTTGATGTTCCCAGGAGCCCTCACTGATCCTGTTTTCCTCCCACTAGACCGTGTTCAACTCAGAGACACAATCAGGACAGGATTCTGTGGGCACTGACTCCAGCCAGCAAGAGGACTCTGGCCAGCATGCTGCCCCTCTGCCCGCCCCGCCCATACTCTCCGGTGACACGCCCATAGCACCAACCCCGGAACAGGTAAACGAGCCTGGGGTCAGAACCGTCAGGTCCAGGCAGGTGGGCCACACACGTCAGGGAGGGCCCCCTGTCAGAATTTACCATCCACGGAGCCTCCACTTCTTCCTCACAGCAGCCCACAGGGTATGTGTGGTTCTTCCTGTTTGAGCGATGAGACTCAGAGAGGTCCATTCACTTGCCCAGAGCACACAGTCATCAGAGACAGTTGGGATCCAAGCTCACGTCTGTCTGACTCCTGGCAGGCACTGCCCTGTACCTTGGCCATTTTCCAACCTGTGTTTTCTGCGGGGCCCTCCAACAGCACCATGGAGAGGTGTCCTGTACGCAGCCCCTTCAGGCCAGCTCCACCTGTGTGGTTTCTTACACACTCACAGCTTTCATTTGAGCTGGGCATGGTCACGTGCGTCTGTGATCTTAGCTTCTCAAAGGTTCAGGCAGGAGGATGGCTTGAGCCCAGGAGTTTGAGACCAGGCTGGGCAACATAGAGAGACCTGTTTCAAAAAAAAAAAAAAAAAAAAAAAAGGCTTCATTTGAAGAGAGGTTCTGCCTGAAAAGTTTTCAAACATCTGTGCAAAAAATAAAAAACATATGTACATTGTACCATGCTGCTTCCCATGAAGTCTCAAGAAGGTCTGAAGCTTTTTTGTTTGTTCTGAAACAGTCTTGCTCTGTCACCCAGGCTGGAGTGCAGTGGCACCATCTAGGCTCACTGCAACCTCTCTCTCCCAGGTTCAAGCAATTCTCCTGCCTCAGCCTCCTGAGTAGCTGGGACTACAGGCATGAGCCACCATGCCCAGCTAATTTTTTGTATTTTTAGTAGAGATGGAGTTTCATCATGTTGGCCAGGCTAGTCTCGAACTCCTGAGCTCAAGTGATCTACTCGTCTTGGCCTCCTAAAGTGCTGGGATTACAGGCATGAGCCACCACACCCAGCCAAGAAGGTTTGAGGCTTAGTATGAGATTCTAGGGGACAGGTTTTCCCAGCCCTCTGACTAGCTTTGAAGGATTACCCACCTCAGAGCAGGTGGCACCCTGGGCATGTCACTTCCTTCCTCCTCATGGCCCACTGGGCCATGAGCTGCTTGTGGAGTGCCATGGCTGCTGTATCTGCTGAGTGACTTCTACAGCCATGACCAGCTCGTAGAGCTGGGGGCTTGTCATTCTAGACTTTTGGCTGCTGGGGTGGGGGCAGAGGCCTGCACACTGTGGAGACACCCACGTTAAAGGTGTTGTACACACATCAGGCCCATCACATCCGCGGAGCGTAAAGGTGGAGCTGCTGAGTGTGCTGGTGAGTTAGACACGGATGTGTGATGGAAAGAAAAGTGAAGCTTAACTTTCCCAATAAGCGTCCCCACTGCCCACTTTTTGTATCATTTGAACTCATTCTCACCCTAACCTATTTGAAGAGAAACTTCCATGATTTGTTTTCTCATAGCAAGTTATGAAATCACCCCTCAGAGTTACAGATATTACTAGAAAATTTTGCTAACTGGACAAAATTATTAACGCACTGCCCGTTTGCCCCAAGAATACTCTTGTCTCTAATCCTAATGTAACCTCATATACATTTCTGTTACGTTAGGATTGGAGACAAGTTCTGTTTAGAAATAACTCCAAGAACAGTTTTTATGTTTTATTTTCATGTTGAAAATCAGTCAGGTTTACTTCAGCCTCAAAGAGCATGTTTATGTAAAATTAAATGAGTGCTGACAGCGAGCTGCACTTTTTTTTTCTGAGTGGGTTAAAGGTGTGTAAAAAATTGTAAAACCACCTTGTGATTGTCTAACTCAGTTATGATTTTAACCAATTTTCTGAAGTCTAGCATCTGTGTGGATTAAGACGCTAATTACTTCCAATGCAAGAAGGTGCTTGCTAAACAAAACTAATCTTTGTTTAATTCGAGAGTCCCCTTTTGTCTCTTGGGACATGTTAAGACATCAGGTGTGCAGTGATGTTACTCCCAGACTCCTCTGTAATTAAGTCCCATCTGATTTGGATACATGGGGTTTGTGATCAGTAGTTTTTCCACTCACTCATACCAAGAGTGTTCATTAAGTAAGCCAAATAGATCAAACATTTTGCAGGTTTTGGAAGGTGTCAGTGAACCATAGTGGATATACTACTAGTCTCTACACTCCATTTCTTCATCTATAAAAGCAGGGATATTGATGTCTACCATGGTAAAAAATTAAGTTAGCAATATATGTTCAATGCTTGGCACTTATTAGGTAGTCTATAAATGGTAGCTGCTGTCACAATCATGAATGTATATAGTGACACTCTGAAATCAACTATAACTCAGCCACATGATTTAGAATGTACCAGCATTTCTCAAAACATAAAAAGGTTCTTCAGTCAAATAAATCTTAGAAGCTTTCAGACTGATCTTTTCCCAGGCATTCCCAGTGTGCATGAGGGCATTAAACACCCTACAAGGTCCCACAGCATAAGATCCTTATACCAATGGCCTTTCACAAGCTAACCTCTTTGAGGAGACTGCAGCTTTATTGAAAATGTTTCCCCAAGCCCAACTCCTTGGAACCCTTTGACCATTGAAAACCTGCCCACATCCCTTGGAACAAGTGCTAAATCTGAGTTTCATATTCAAGGTGGGGTACAGGGCAAGGACTATCCTTAGATGAGCCTGGGACACCAAAATAGACCAGAAACAGGACAAAATCCCAGTCCACTAGGAGGAGAAAGAGGGCAGAAGCCCAGTCCACTAGGAGGAGAGAGAGGGTGGAATCCCAGTCCTCTAGGAGGAGAGAGAGAGGACGGAATCCCAGTCCTCTAGGAGGAGAGAGGGCGGGATCCCAGTCCTCTAGGAGGAGAGAGACGGCGGGATCCCAGTCCTCTAGGAGGAGAGAGGGTGGGATCCCAGTCCTCTAGGAGGAGAGAGAGGGGGGGATCCCAGTCTTCTAGGAGAGAGGGCGGAATCCCAGTCCTCTAGGAGGAGAGAGAGAGGGCAGAATCCCAGTCCTCTAGTGGGAGAGAGAGAGAGGGCCTGCAGCGTCCCTCCCCGCCTTGTGGGGAGCCACCCTCCAGGGCCTTGTTAGCTGCTGTGTTAGACCCAGGAGATGCTGGAGTCTTCCAGCCACACGTGGTGGCTCATTCCGGTGTGGAGATGGTAACGGTTGGTAGCGCCTCTGTGAGGGGTCTGTAGAAGGGGTGGGGCAGGCCTCTAGTGCAGAGCTGTCACTTTGGGAGCCAGGAGGGAGGCTGCCTAGAGAGGCTGCTGGGAGGTCGGCTCCCTGGTGCTGCACCCAGGGTTGGTGGTACTGGGTTCTGTCGCTGTGAGTAACATGGGCCCCAGAACCCTGGCTTCTCTCACCACGATCAACTGTGTGTTTCAGATTGGGAAGCTGCGCAGTGAGCTGGAGATGGTGAGTGGGAACGTGAGGGTGATGTCGGAGATGCTGACGGAGCTGGTGCCCACCCAGGCCGAGCCCGCAGACCTGGAGCTGCTGCAGGTGAGCAGGTGGCACCACCCCCTGGGGCTCAGATGACTCCTGCCCAGCTGCCCACATGCATTCTTTCCCAATCCTCATGACAGTCTTCATGGCTTACTCCATACTCCTTGGTCACAGTTGGGGACATGTTACCACCAGGGACTTTGGACGCCATCAGATTGGAATCAGATCGCAGCTCTACCACTTTCTGGTTTGAACAAAGTAGCCCCCCTGGCCTCAGTTTCCTCATCTGTAAGATTGCTCTAACAATAGCCTTCATGGCACAAGTTTGATGTGAGTTAAATAAGGTATTGCATGAAAAACACGCAGGCTTGTGCCTGGTACAGAGTAAAGCACCCAGTAAGGGGTCCTGAGAAAAAGCTGGAAGGTGAGATTTACACCATTCAGAATCCGAGACTCAGCAGGCAGGTGTGAGAGGGTGGTGCCAGCCTTGAGATGCGCCAGCCACTGATCTTGGGGAGCCAAGGCAGGTGGAGCTAGTGGTTCCTGCTCCCGGGTGTCACATGGTATTCCCACGGCCCCAGCCCAGATTGGGGGTCACTGGAGCAGAAGGGACACTGAATTTGGCAAAAAGCACCCTCCCCATGGAGGCCAGTCATAGAGGCACCAAGAGAGCTAGGAATCCCCAAGGCCCAGGAGTCACCAGAATCCATGAGGAGACAGAGCGCTTCGTGTAACTGTTCGAGTTCCTACTGCTCGTCCACCAGGCCTCAGGCTCCTTGAGGGCAGCGCTGTGTCTTCCTCGCCACCGTGTCTGTGTGCCTGACCGAGCTGACTCTGCAGGGGTCCTCACTTGGTGGTGCAGGGTGGGGAGAAAAGGAGTAGCCTCAGAGTCCAGTGAATACACAAACTTGAAACCCAGTAAGGGCTCCGAAAGAGAGAAGACTGCGCAGGCAGCCTCGCACGCCCCAAGCCAAGGCCATGAGATGTGAGCAGTCTGGGGACTCAGAAGGCTGAGCAAGGTGGATGCAGGGACAGCTCCCATGCACTGGGCACTTCCCGTGTCCCGGGCTATATGTGGACACTTGGTTCACATCGCTCACGTAATCCTGACCACCCCCATTTTCCAGGTCAGGAAATAGGCATAGGGAGATCAGATAACACGTCCAGGGTTATATGGCTGGTAAGTAGCAGAGCTGCGATTTGAACCCGGGGGCCTGGCTCCAAGTGCTGCTCTTCTGCTCTTGAGAGGGGCCAGCAGGGAAGCAGAAGCAAAGCCACCGTGTGCTTGGTCATAAGAGCAGGAGGGGAGCCCACAGGATGTTGAAAGGCACCCGCCCTGTCCCCGTGCTAAGGGCGATGAGGAAATCCCGGAGGCCTGACCTTGGAGGGGGCAGGGGACAGGGTCCACATGACAGCCAAAATAAACACTGGGCAGTGCCGAGCCTCAGCGTTGCCTCCAGGAGAAAGGCGTGCTGGCGTGAGGCCACAGTCGGCAATGCCGGGCAGCTCCCTGGACCTCAGGACCCAGGCACCTGCCGTGACCCAGGAACCTTCACCTGGTGGCAGGTACCTGAAGAAATAATTGACCAATCTTAAAAATGAAAACCCATATGGCTATGGTTTTTTATTTTTTTATTTTTTTTGAGACGGAGTCTTGCTCTGTCACCCAGGCTGGAGTGCAGTGGCGCGATCTCGGCTCACCGCAGCCTCTGCCTCTTGGGTTCAAGCTATTCTCCTGCCTCAGCCTTCCAAGCAGCTGGGATTATAGGCATACACCACCATGCCCGGCTAATTTTTGTATTATTAGTAGACACAGGGTTTCACCTTGTTGGCCAGGCTGGTCTTGAACTCCTGACCTCAGGTGATCCACCCGCCTCGGCCTCCCCAAGTGCTGGGATTATAGGCACGAGCCACCGGGTGTAGCCATTTTTTTTATTTTTCATAAGTTTAAATATGACACCTAGTGGTTAAAAGTCGGTGACGTGATAACTAAATGCAGTGTAGGATCCTAGAACAAACAAAGGACATTAGAGGAAAAACTAGTGAAACCTGAATAAAGTCCGCAGTTTAGTTAATAGTATTTTACCAGTTTTAATGTTTAATGGTAGTTTACCAGTTTTGACAAATGCCAGACTAAGGGGAAGCCAGGGTCAAGGGTATATGGGAACTTGTGGTACTATCTTTGCATCTCTTCTGTAAATCTAAAATTATTCCAAAGCTAAAAGTTTGTTTAAAAAGACAAAAAATCAGGCAGTGAGAAAAGTGAGGCAAAAACTCGAAATCGAGGTTTGTGGCTAATGGTTGCAGTCATCTAGTTCATTCTGTATGCTTTGGTTGCAAAAATCACAGCATACCCCCAGAAGTTGTGGTTTGTTCAGCCAGCCCCCTTTGCAGACTCAGTTTTTTTTTGACTAAGCAAAGATGGTGGCACAACCTTTATTCTGGAATCTGCACGAAGCCAAGTTAAACCGGCAGCACAGTTGGACATGTTGATGGTTTCCTGTGGATTAAATTTTAGCATCTAACACTTGGAAGTGAAGTTCAAGTTCATGTTTGTAGAACCCAAAAAGCTGTTCCGTGGAACCTTGAAGTCCAGTTTGGGCACCTCACCCTCCTCCAAGGCTTGTGCAGGGGCTGGAGGCCCGTGCATTAGAGATGGCCTCACTTGGCCAGGCGCGGTGGCTCACGCCTGTAATCCCAGCACTTTGGGAGGCCGAGGCAGGCAGATCGTGAGGTCAGGAGATCGAGACCACCCTGGCTAATATGGCGAAACCCCGTCTCTACTAAAACTACAAAAAAAAAAATTAGCCAGGCGTGGTGGCAGACGCCTGTAGTCCCAGCTACTTGGGAGGCTGAGGCAGGAGAATGGCATGAACCCAGGACACAGCTTGCAGTGAGCCAAGATCGCACCACTGCACTCCAGCCTGGGCGACAGAGCTCCGTCTCACAAAAAAAAAAAGAGACGGCCTCACTCTGAGTCATGTGACTGTGGTTGCCTCACTTCCTTTCCTGGCAGGAGCTCAACCGCACGTGCCGAGCCATGCAGCAGCGGGTCCTGGAGCTCATCCCTCAGATCGCCAATGAGCAGCTGACAGAGGAGCTGCTCATCGTCAATGACAATCTCAACAATGTGTTCCTGCGCCATGAACGGTAGCCCCAGCACCTCCCCTGGCCTCTGGCCTACTGCCCCAACCCTCTCCCTTCCCTTCCTCCCTGTTCTCCTGGTCTCATGCCATCTGAGCCTTCTCTCGTCCTCCTCTCAAACACAAGGCAGGCTCCTAAGGGCCTGTGCCCTCAGCTGTCTTCTTCCAGGATGTTTATGAGGGCCCCTCCTTCCAGCCGCCCTGTATCTCCTTTCCAGGGTTAGCGCTGCTGCCTGTGCCCAAGTCCAGCCCTGGGAGATGGTCACAGGTCACAGCTGAGAGCACGGCCCTGCAACCAGACTGGCCTGGTGTGTCCTCGCCCACTCCACCACTTCCTGGTTCTGGGGCCTTAGACAAGTGACTTCACTGCTGCAAGCTACACAAAACATTTCTGGCTAACTTAGGCAGAAAAAGAATTTGTTAGGATAATAATCTTTATTAAATGGGTAGCTTTCAGAATCCAGAGAAAAGTGAAACTGATGTCTCCCAACAGAACAAGAAAGATGGATCCCAGGGCAGCTCAGATGTCTCAGGAGCAGAAATTCCTGGACCATCTCCCCAGGGTGCTGCCATCAATAAATACATCAGCTCAAACACTTGTCCACAAACACCTGTCCACCTTTTTTTTTTTTTTTTTTTTGAGGCACGATCTTGCTCTGTCACCCAGGCTGGAGTATAGTGGCATGATCACAGCTCACTGCAGCCTCAACCTCCTGGGCTCAAGCAGTCCTCCCACCTCAGCCTGCCAGGTAGCCGGGACTACAGGCATGCACCACCACACCCAGCTAATTTTCTTTTCTTTTTTTTTTTTTCTTTTTGCAGAGACAGGGGTCTCACTGTGTTGCCCAGGCTAGTCTCAAACTCTTGGCCTCAAGCAGTCCTCCCTCCTTGGCCTCCGAAAGCATTGGTATTACAGGCATGAGCCACCACACCCACCTGCCCACCTTGTATCATTCTGTTCAAGAGTCACATCCCCAAGAGAGACTTGGATTGGCTGAGCTTCATTGTGCCTACCAGCTGGGGTATGGGAGAGGGCCCTTTGATGGCAGCCCCACCGGGATGATGTGAAATGGGGGAGGAGCAGTTCCTCTAAAGAGTACTTAGGTGCTATTACAAAAGAAGGAGAAGGGCTGGGCGCAGTGGCTCACACCTGTAATCCTAGCACTTTGGGAGGCTGAGCCGGGAGGATCACTTGAGGCCAGGAGTTTGCAACCAGCCAGGCCAACATGGTGAAACCCCGTCTCTACTAAAAAATACAAAAAAATTAGCCGGAGGTGGTGGTGGGTGCCTGTAATCCCAGCTTACTTGGGAGGCTGAGGCAGGAGAATTGCTTGAACCCAGGAGGCAGAGGTTGCAATGAGCCGAGATCGCACCACTGCACTCCAGCCTAGGCGACAGAGCAAGACTCCATCTCAAAAAAAAAAAGGAAAGAGAAGGAGAAGGATTGCTGGGTCTGCAGAAATTGTGTGCCCATCACACCTCCTCTGTATCTGTAAAATGAGGCTTGTGGCATAAGTGAGAGTCCATGAAACAGTGTCTGTAAAGCGCTTAGCAGTCCAGGGTGTCTGATAACTGACATGAGTTATTCCAGCCTCCTCCAGCCCCTTGTTCATTTTTTGTGTCTTTCTCCATCAAAAGACACTCACTGATTGATTCTAAATCAGTGGAAAGTGGGGGGTACCCTGCAGGTCACGTCTGCCTAGCTTCTCCTGCTCGTTGGCCCAGTGGAATGAAAGGCCTCTTCCCTGCCATTTTGGGGTATGGGCTGTGAGGTGACTGAGGGGCCCCATCTGGTAGCAGCTGGTACCCTCAGATATCCACAGTCATTAGGCTTAATATCTGACTGTGCTTTCAAGCTCGCAGTCACTTATACCCATGTCCTAATTTGGGCTTCAGCACTTCAGGGAGGCAGGTGCCTACAGATACTAGACAAGCAGACTAAAGTTCAGAAGGAACATAATTTACCCGAGGTCATGTGATAAGTGACAAGGCCACGACTTGAACAGACCCCACACTAAAGTCTTCTCGATCTATCACACCGGCCCCTAAGTAGCTCCATAAAACAAGATTAGAGATACATGTATCTTTCTTACAGCACTGAAGAGAGCACTAACACACACACACACACACACATACACACACACAAATATGTAATTGAAACAAGTTTCATAAGACAGTCCTTACCTTTACTGCGTGCCATGCATTCCTATTTTCTTTGCTGTTCTAACCTATTCCTGTTTATTTGTTTCATGCTACTCATGACTAAGGTTGCCTTATAATTGATCATCCAAATTGGGACACTTTTGCAAGGGAAAGAGGAGCACTGCTAGTTACCCAGGGACAGCAGGCATGAACTGGATCTGTCCAGGGCACACCAGACGTGTCATCACCCTGATCATAACCCACCGTGTTGATGTTGAGACCCACAGTTTGAAAAGCTCTGCCTGGCCGTGTGTGGGGGCCTGTCTCAGTCTGTCTCCATAACTCGTGTCTTTTCTGTCTTGTAGGTTTGAACGGTTCCGAACAGGCCAGACCACCAAGGTAAAAGTCTTCTTTTCTGTGACTAGATCAGGCCCTGTTCATGGGAAGAAGGAGTGCCATTCTCACCTCCCTCCCCTAGTAAACTGGACAGGGTGGTGCTGTCTTATCCAGGCCCATAGAGAAATCCCCTTCTAACTTTTTATGTCCCTGTCCCTTTAAGGTAAATAAGGCTGTGCCACCACCTGATGCCCCAGGGTCTCCCCAACCTCCCAGGGAGTCCAGTTGAGCTGGAGCCAGAGGGGAGGAAGGAAATTCCCTGATGCCCAGTCCTAGCTCCTGGGGCCCTGGTGACAGATCCCTGGGCAAAGCCTGCAAGCCACAGTGCTTGGGGCAGAAAGGAACGAAGCTGCAGACAGCGGGGATGATCAGGGCATCTCCCTTCCCACCAGGCCCCAAGTGAGGCCGAGCCGGCAGCTGACCTGATCGACATGGGCCCTGACCCAGCAGCCACCGGCAACCTCTCATCCCAGCTGGCAGGAATGAGTAAGTGTGGTTTGGAGGGCTCCAGCTGAGGGTACATTATGGTACTGTGGGCACCCCTGCAGATTTTCGGGGTGCCCTTGTTATATACCCACAGCAGAGTGTCAGTCTGGACCCCACCTTGCTGGGGTCCCAGGCTGAATCTTGCTGCAAGGTGGGGCACTCGGGGTCACTGCCCCTGGCAGCCCCACAAGTCCTGAGCCGCCTTGGATCTCAGAAATCCTACCATCCTAGGATTGGCCCTCTACACTGAATTCTCCATGGCTTCAATCATCTGCGTGAGCTTGGGCAAGTTCCTTAAACCTCCTGAGCCTCTCTTTCCTCCTCTTTAACAGGAGTAGGGAGCTCGTGTATGAGAAGCGCTTAGACCATGCCAGGCCCAGGTTGCACTCTGGCTGAGTAGTTGGCCATTGTCACTGTTATCACTGTGATAGGTTTTAATATAATTTACTGTCTGCTTCATGCCAAGCCCTAGGAAATCATTAGCACCCCATTTTGCATCACTAATGCTATACTTTTTGAAAAAATCGACTACCCATCTGATTACTGTCCTCCTGCCCAGCCACTTCCCCAGCAGAATCAATGGATAGCGTTTTGACTGTTCTCTAACGCTCACAGCAGCCCCAAGAGGGGTGAGTAAACTAAAGCTGGGAAGAGGAAGCCGCTTGCCCAAGGCCCCACAGCCAGCAGCAGGTGGCCTGCCTCGCGCATTCCCCCACCCACACGTGCCACTTCCCCAGCACCAAGCCCTGGGTCTGGCAGCAGGTAGCTCAGCAGCAGCTCACACACAAGCTTGTGGATGGGTCTTTCACGTGGCCTTTCTGTCCCTGCAGACCTGGGCTCCAGCAGTGTGAGAGCTGGCCTGCAGTCTCTGGAGGCCTCTGGTCGACTGGAAGATGAGTTTGACATGTTTGCGCTGACACGGGGCAGCTCACTGGCTGACCAACGGAAAGAGTGAGTGGCCTGGCCCTGCCCTGGTCCCCTGCAGTTCGGGTGGCTCTCGGGGTTCTGGAACCCGGTTTTATGGTGGCACACCATGAGGAAGGGCACACGGACCCTGCTTAGTAAGCACGCCCTTAGTATCCCCTAAGTCAGTCCAGCATGGCCTGGGAGCCCTGTGGTCAGTTGACAGACTGCGCTCCCCACAGGCCATGCTGGGTGGGGGAGGGGGAGCCTAATGACCCACTGTATGCCAGAATCTTACATAGTCTGATCAGAGGGGGAAACTGAGGCACAGAGAGGGGCAGGCTCATTTGCCCCAGGTCAAGGAGCTAATATTTGGCAGCACTAGGTTAGGAGCCTAGGGCTGTCTGGTTCCAAAACACAGTGTCTCCACCCCCCGCCCCCCTCCCTGCACTGTGTACCGCATAGTAAGCCCTCCAGGAGCAGGGAAGTTTCCTGATAAATCCTCAGGGACTTTCAAGTCAAGTCTTTTTCTGTTGTTCCATAGCCACCGTTAATTTCCAGAGAAGATTAAGCAGGTTCTGTCAGCCTTGCCCCAGAGCTGGGGCTCTGCCCTTCCCTGTGCACCGTGCATTTTCAGGGGGTACTTTCAGCAGCATAGGCACGTGGCCTGAGTGTGTCCACCAGGGTCTGACCCCTTGCCGGGACCTGCGGGAGAACTGGCCCCGTACAGGCTTGTAAGAGGAACAGTCTGCTTGATGTTTTCTTCAGCCTTTTGCCCACTGTGACCCCCAGGGCTGAGCTGTGGGCAGCCAGGATTCTTATAGCTAAGGAAAGTTCTAGATTATGGGATCTTCCCACTGACCCCACTCAGCTCCTTAGAGGTCATTCTGGTGTCTTTTGGAACTTTGTCAATGGGCCTCCAGAGAGCCCAGGGATAACCTCTCCACACCCACAAATCCAGGTCCAGGCTGTAGCCTGCTAGGTCCTTAGGGCTGCCCTGGCTGTTAGCTGTATCTTTCTTTAGTCTGGGCAGAGTCTGTACTTTTAAGCCCAGGTACCCTGGGACCAGCAGCTGTTGCCATGGAGTTAGGGGTGCTGCCGAGGCTACCCTGCAAAGGCAAGCTAATGAGTGTGATGGGACTTGCAGCCAGACACGCCCATCCACAGAGGCCCCAGCAGGCAACACTGCTGGCCATACTGGAGAACCCTGGCGCCTGCCCTGGTCACCAGCCTGGCTGAGGTATGCTGTTGCGCTGTCCTTCCTCTGGGGAGCAGGCTCCGGGGGACAGGGAAAAGCACACAAGGAACTTGTCCTCTAGGGCCTGCAGTCTCATGGGAGAGTGACATGCACCAGGACCACCGCTGTGAAGGGCTAAGTGCTGTCCTGGAGGGGGCACCAGGCTCTGTGGACACAGAGGAGGGAGCATGCAACTCTGCGGAGGGTACTCAGAGCTGGACCAGGTGCTGGGTGATAGGAAGGCCATTTCAGGCACTAGGAACAGCATGTGCAAAGTCTCAGAGGCAGGGCGGGAGAGAGGTGCCCTGGCTCCCGCACAGCAGCTGGGAAAGATGCTCTTCACACAGGGAAGGGGGCAGGATGCTGAGAGGGTGGTGGGGCCCACTGGGCTACAGAGAGGCAGTTGATTTTATTCTAACATGAGCAGGAGGGAGCACAGGAAGGATCTTTTTTCTTATCAGATTTTCATCTTTGAAACTGCCTTCAGCTGAGCACAGCTGAAATGACATCATGCACCTTCTCAGGCCATTGGTTCTCCTGCAGGCCCTCCCCAGGGCTTGGTTTCCACCCTGGCAGAAAACATCCAGCAAGGTCAGGCGTGGACCTGAGCATCCATTTCGTCTTCCCTTTGTTCTCCTGCCTGGCTGGCCCCCTTAAATGCTTCTGGTGGATCTTCCAGCTCTGGTCACCTGACTGGCCTTTTCTGCCAGCTTGGTGTCCAGCCCGCTCCTCCCTGTACCTGCCTGGCTCCCCACTTCACACCAGCCTGCAACCAGCTCTGCCCTGGCTGGCAGGGAAACCAGCTCCTTATCAGCCGCTGTTTCTGCTCCAGCCTTGACCACAGCTGGCACCGTCACAGCCTTCCTGCAGCCAGTCCTATCCACTCAATGCCAAGGAGTAGCAGGGCTTCTGGGCGAGCCACAGCAGAGACGCCTCGGCTAGGCCTTCACAAAGGCAGGGGTGTCCTTCCCCCGCTTTGTCCGCATCTTCGTCAGTGCTGCTGTACACAGAGGCCTTCTCTACAAGGAGCACTTAGACAAGTGTCACCCCAGTGGCCCAGGTGCAGCCCCTGCCCACCAGCCCCACTGGGACCACCTAAGGAGTGACCCTCCACCCTCCTGCACTGGGCAGGGGGCAGCAGGCCCTAGCCCAGGGGTCACCACCCAGTGCAGGAGGTGCGGGCTTCCTCCAGGGAAGTGCTTGGCCCTCCACCACCACAGGCATGGCCTTCAGGGACAGCTGGGCTTCAGGGCCATGTGTGGGCAGGGGTGGCGAGGAGCTAAGCTTAGGAAGGGCAGATAGTTCTTTTTTTTTTTTTTTTGAGCCGGAGTCTCGCTCTGTCTCTCAGGCTGGAGTGCAGTGGCGCTTGCAGAGTGCAAGCTCCACCTCCTGGGTTCACGCCATTCTCCTGCCTCAGCCTCCCGAGTAGCTGGGGACTACAGGCGCCCACCACCACACCTGGCTAATTTTTTGTATTTTTAGTAGAGACGGGGTTTCACCATGTTAGCCAGCATGGTCTCGATCTCCTGACCTCGTGATCCGCGCGCCTTGGCCTCCCAAAGTGCTGGGATTTCAGCCACTGCACCTGGCCCAGATAGTTGTTTTGAGTGAAGGGAAATCATGGGTTTCTGCGTGTTCTGGGGCTGGGCATGGCTTCTTCAGCCTTGCCCACAATGCGCCAAGCATGTCTTAGAGACAGCAACAAGCACCTCCAGACCCTCAATTAGCAGGCCTTCTCTGGGTCAGAAGTCAGCAACCTGACGCCCCACCTCCCCCGCCACTGGCTTTAAGGTTGGCTCCAGCAGGGCCCTGCCGTAGTCACTGGCCCACTTGCCATGGATGGGAGCCGTGTAACCAGGGAATGCCCCAGCTAGTGGTCACACTCCACCAGCAAACTCTGCCCCTGGTGGGAAGGAACAGACAGCAGCACTCTTCAAAATGACTGCGTGGGAACTGGGGGTCATATTCAAGAAGCCCCTTTCAGTGCCAGCCTACTCCATTCCTCAGAAAGCAAGCTGGTATTGCAAGAGTTAAATGTGATGCAGTCCCAGTTCCTGAAGCCTACAGTTAGACCAGCCCCGCTTCACTAGCGTGTCAGGTGGCCTTGTTCCTAACAGGAATCGCAGGCCTTTCCCTTTGTGACCAGAATTCTGTGGCTTACTTCTTTGCCTCAAAGCTGCACTGAGCCAGTGCTGAAGTCCTGTCTGCCGGCAGTTCAGGGCGAGAATAACAGGGCTCTTTCCCTGCAACAGGGCTGGGTCCCCAACACCTGCCCTGGGCACCCCCACTGCGGCAGCTGGGAAAGACACCATAGCCGCCTCTCCTCCTTAGCCAGCTTCTCCTCTCACTCAGGTTATTCTCTTGCTCCCCAGGAGACTTAACCTCACACACAACATACCCTTCCTTGCCTCTCCTCATCTGCCCAGCAACTGTGGGGTCAGCCTCTGCCGCTCCCAGCCCATCAGCCTTGCGTGCCCTCCCAGTTCCTGCCTCCCCACCCTGCCTAGCTGGCTGGCACCCCCCAGAGGACATTTAGAAGAGCTGTAACCAAGCCACCTCCCATGCTGCTGAGACAAGGTGGGGGCAGAGTCATCTTTGTGCTGGTGAGCCAGTGCAAGACAAGATGGCACCTCACCCAGCAGTTTATAGATGTGTTTTCAGCAGCAGAATGGAATCCCCCATTCAAATACGACCTCATACACAACCACAGTCTATAAAATAGGAAACAAGATCTGCTCAAGAAAGGGTCTGCTGGGAATTCTCCATGAGCCTACGGGCACTGGAGCTATTTATCAGTCTCCTGAGTTTGGCCAATCCTGGTCATAGCCATTGGTGGTCTTGGTCTCAGTCTTTGGCCAGCAACACCCTCCCTAACCTCTCCAGCCTTTGCTGCTGTCTGTCATGTAGGTCACTTGTCAGATCCTAATTTCCAGAGGCAGGAAATGAGACCCTTTTTACCATTTCCAGGCAGGCCTGGAGGATGGGAGCCGTCAATCTGTGCCCCCCAGCCCGCTCCGTTCTTGCATCAGCCATCGGTAAGGGCAGCATCCAATGGCTTGGTGGTCTCTCTTTCAGGGTAAAATACGAAGCCCCCCAAGCAACAGACGGCCTGGCTGGAGCCCTGGACGCCCGGCAGCAGAGCACTGGCGCGGTAAGCAGAGGGGCCATCCTGCCACCCTGGGGCCCTCCTGAAGGAGGTGAGGGAATGCTCACCCACTGGGTGCCGTTGTGGGCCAAGCACTGGCCCAGCACGTCCACAGGCCCTTCCTCGTTTGGCCGTCAGGTCGGTTCTTTTTGGCTAGTGTGGTTATTCCCAGTTTATAGCTATGGAAACTGCTAGAGAGGCCAGGCCATTTGCCCAAGCCCACAAGCAAGGATTCAGACCTGAGCCTGACTTGAAACTGGAGACCAGGCCGGGCGTGGTGGCTCACACCTGTAATCCCAGCACTTCGGGAGGCTGAGGCGGGTGGATCACCTGAGGTCAGGAGTTCAAGACCAGCCTGGCCAACATGGTGAAACCCCGTATCTACTAAAAATACAAAAATTAGCTGGGCGTGGTGGCACATGCCTGTAATCCCAGCTACTCGGGAGGCTAAAGCAGGAGAATCGCTTGAACCCAGATGGTGGAAGTTGCAGGGAGCAGAGATTGTGCTACTGCACTCCAGCCTAGGTGACAGAGCAAGACTCCATCTCAAAAAAAAAAGAAAGAAACTGGAGACCAGTGGCCCGGGCTTCACATTCCAGCTCTACCAGTTACCAGCTATGTGTCCTTAAGCAAATGACTGGCCTTTCTGACCCTCAGTCTCTTTATCTGTACATTGGGGCTTATCCTAGCACCTATACTTGTTTATAATAGAAGTGTGAGAGGATATATTTAGGGAGCTTTACATGGAGTTAGAGCCCGTTCAATAGTATTCCTCTCTGCCTCTCTAGAGACTTTTAATCTGCAGGAGTGTGGGCAGAGAGGAATAAAAGAGCGGACCCTGGCCAGGCGCAGTGGCTCACGCCTGTAATCCCAGCACTTTGGGAGGCCGAGGCGGGCGGATCACGAGGTCAGGAGATCGAGACCATCCCGGCTAAAACGGTGAAACCCCGTCTCTACTAAAAATACAAAAAATTAGCCGGGCGTGGTGGCGGGCGCCTGTAGTCCCAGCTACTTGGGAGGCTGAGGCAGGAGAATGGCGTGAACCCAGGAGGCGGAGCTTGCAGTGAGCCGAGATCCCGCCACTGCACTCCAACCTGGGCGACAGAGCGAGACTCCGTCTCAAAAAAAAAAAAAAGAGCGGACCCTAAAGCAGCGGGGAGAAATGCGAGGGTGCTCTTTGAATTCCGTTTAGTTCCTTGACTGTGTGTTGAGTGACAGCCACTTGTCCAGCACCGAGCACATTTTGTGGGTGACCCCCACACGCTTTGGCAAGACCTCCAAGCACCATTCTCTCATGCATGTCAACGTGTATCTGGATGCTTTTCAGGCAGTGTGAGAATTTCTGCTCCAGCAAGTGAGCAGACAGAGCAGGTCCCATGGGAGACAGTTAGAAACAGCCGGACCTGGGAGTCCAGGGAGTCCGGGGGAGTGAGGGTGGTGGACCTGGGGCCGAGGAGGCTAGAGGAGGCTCAAGGCAGCATGGGGACTTCTGAGGCTAGCATGGGGTTGGGGGTAGGAAGTGAAGCTCTATGGGTATATAGCAGGGACCAGAGGACCTCAGCGCGGCTAGGAGCGCTGCAGATTGCATCCTAAGTGAGGTGGAGGCCGCGGGGAAGTCTTGAGCACAGGAGGGACTTGACTTCCAATCTGAAAGATCAGGATGGAGCTAGGAAAGCAGGGAGGGCCGGGCACAGTGGCTCACACCTGGAATCCCAGCACTTTAGGAGGCCGAGGTGGGCAGATCACTTGAGGTCAGGAGTTCAAGACCAACCTGGGCAACATGGGGAAACCCCATCTCTACAAAATATTTAAAAATTATCCGGGCATGGTGGCGCACACCTTTAGTCCCAGCTACTCAGGAGGCTGAGGTGGGAGGATCGCTTGAGCACAGGAGGTGGAGGTTGTGGTGAGCTGAGATTGCACTACGACACTCCAGCCTGGGCAATGGAGTAAGACCCTGTCTCAAGAAAAGAAGGAAAGCAGGGAGGGACGAGTTGTGGAAACCGTCCAGGCCAGTCCACTGTGGGCAAAGTCTTCGTGACCCCCAAGGGCACTCTCTCCGCTCCTGGGTCTCCCAGCATCTCAGGAGCCATTCCCAAGTCAGAACAGGGCAAGGTGGAGGACGCTGGGGTGGGCCATCTGGGCCTCTCGTGGACAGAGGTTGACTCTACCACCCAGTGGGCAACAAGAGAATCCAGTACCTCCCATGTGTGGTGTGTGACCTGCCACCAAGCACAGCACATTGCACACCCGTGTCACATCCACCGCACACACCAGTCAGAGACTCCAGTCCTTTTTCGGGTGTAAGCCATCATTTGCTGAGCCTGTGCTCCGGGCCAGGCCTGCACTAAGCACTTTGCATCCCCTCTCTTAGTGAGTCATCACAGAAACCCTTAGGGTATGTTATTATCCCGTTTTACAGATGAGAAAACTGAGTTCCAGGAAGAGCTTAAGTGAAACCACAGGTGTACTGTCCTCGGTATGGTGCCTGGCACACACTACGGTATTACGGCACTTACGCTTCGCAGTACCGCCATGTCCTCATCCCATTTACAGATGAGAAAACTGAGGCTGAGGACAGGGAGATACCCTGCCTAGGGTCTCGTAGGTATTGTTCTGCCTGGCTTCTAAGCCATGCTGGTAACCTTAGAGCTGTGAAAAGCCCTAAGGTGCAAAGGAGAGTGAGTGGAGGTGTGTGTCTCCCTCCTCAGCCTCAGGCTTCCAGTGTGTCGGGATTCATCGGAACCAACACACCGCGAGCCTGCTGTAGGAGCTCCCCTCTCAGGCCACCTGGCCTCTCGTGGTCAGAGGTTGACTCCACCACCCAGTGGGCAGCAATCCCAGCCAATCTGCTCCTGCTGCAGCCCAGAGACAGGGTTCACTTCCCTAGGGGCACACAGCAATTCAGGCGTGACTAAAACTAGAGCCCAGGTGTCCTGGCTCCCACACTACCTTGCAGCCCGCCCACAGGGAGGAAACGCACCACACAACTCCACTGGCAGCAAAGAGAAGCTGATAAACCGGTTATCACTGATTTATCTCCGATAACCTGGGAGATTTAAGCCACTTCTGCCAAATCAGGGTATGATTTCTTAAAACTCTGTGAGCAAATGCCTGCTCCTGGGGTGCTGGAGTTTGGCTGGTGGTAAGGCCTTCACCCACTAAACCGTGAGAACATGATTCCCAAGAGCAGAGTACAAAACAGCATCAAAACCAGGCGCGGTGGCAGGTACCTGTAGTGCCAGCTACTTGGGAGGCTGAAGCGGGAGGATCACTTAAACCCAGGAGTTTGAGGTTATCGTGAGCTATGACTGTACCACTGCACTCCAGCCTGGGCAACATAGTAAGACTGTATCTCAAAAAAAAAGAAACAGAATCAAGTGCCAATTGTGCGCAGCCCAGGTTTGCGCCCTGGGATTCAGAGCAGGACTCACAAGTCGTGTGACGAGGTGGTATTGCATGCTGTGTGCCAGGTTTTAGTTCCTTCACTCCCTGACATGCCTGCTGTGTGCCCTGTGCCATGTGCCAGGCCCCATGCTGGTCTGAGTAGGGTGAACCAGCCAGGCACAGGGTGACGGGCTGGGAGCAGGACTCTCGTCTCCCTCCACTCTGGGGCCCTAGGAAACTGCATGTGTGCCATGGATGAATGTGAGAAGGTTGGATAAACTGATGTTTCTAAAACCTGGGTGCCTGTCAGACCCTACTGGGAGCCCCCAGACCATCTGACAGCCGCCTGCCCTGCTATCCTGGGGTTGCTGAGGCCCAGCCTCTGGGATCCTTGTGGAGAGAGTTGAGAAGCTTTGTTTAGTTTGCTGTCAGCTCTGCCTCAGCCTACCCAGGGCGCTGGCATCCCAGAGCTGTTGTGGCTCACCCCCCGGTGGGTACCACAATACCTGCCTCATCCCTCTACACCAGCCGCCACATCCACCACACACACCTCCACACACCACACCTCCACCCATAGACCTACACACACACCACACACACATCTACACCCACCACACACACCTCCACACACACCTACACTCATACACCTACACAGACACCCCTACACACACACCACACCTACACACTCATGCACCTACACACACCCCTACACACACCACACACACATCTACACCCACCACACACACCTCCACACGTCATACCTCCACTCATACACCTACACACACCCCTACACACACCACACCTACACACTCATACACCTACACACCCCCACACCACACACACATCTACACCCACCACACACACCTCCACACACCACACCTCCACTCATACACCTACACACAGCCCTACACACACCACACCTACACACCCATACACCACACACACCCACACACACCACACACACACATCTACACCCACCACACACACCTCCACACACCACACCTACACACACCACACCTCCACTCATACGCCTACACACACACCCCTACACACACCACACACACATCTACACCCACCACACACACCTCCACACACCTCCACTCATACACCTACACACACAGCCCTACACACCACACCTACACACCCATACACCTACACACCCCCACACACACACCACACACATCTACACCCACCACACACCTCCACACACACCTCCACTCATAAACCTACACACACAGCCCTACACACACCACACACACATATCTACACCCACCACACACACCTACACACACACATTCATACACCTACACACACCCCTACACACATCACACCTACACACTCATACACCTACACACACCACACACACATCTACACCCACCACACACACCTACACACACCACACCTACACTCATACACCTACACACACCCCTACACACACCACACACACATCTACACCCACACCTACACACACCACACCTATACTCATACACCTACACACACCCTTACACACACCACACCTACACACTCATACACCTACACACACACCACACACACATCTACACCCACCACACCTACACACACACCCCTACACCTACACATACACACCTACACACACCACACACCTACACCTACCCACACCTACACCTACACATACACACCTACATTCATACACCTACATACACACCCCTGCATATACCACCCCTACACACTCATACACCTACACACCTGCACACACACCCCTACACACACCACACACATCTACACACACCACCTACACACACCACATACATCTATACCTACACAACCTACACCTACACATACAAACCTACACTCATACACCTACACACACACCTACACTCATACACCTACATACACACCCTTACACACCTACACACACCCCTACACACACACGCCTCCCAAAGTGGCAGCAGGCCTCCTGACCCGAAAGGCGCACCCCTGTTAGAAGCCGCGCCCTCCAGTGGCCCTGGCGCTGCCGTCCCTCCGCCATCAGCGTGACTCTCTCTCACCCAGATGGGAGGCGGCTGCGGGAAAAGCCTCAGTGACTGGATGGTGAGACAAGGCATGGTGAGCAGGGGCCAGGCCCGGCCACCCGGAAAGCTGGGGGTGCTCGCAGGGCTCCTGCCAGGCATGGGCGTGGGGCACCGTGCTGCTCTCCAAGGGAGTGGGACCCAGGAGAAGGCCCAGAGGAGCAAGGAGGGGCAGCTGAGGGTCTTGCGGGACCCCAGGGCTCAGGCTGTTTCCGGGTTGGCCCGGCCAGCCCAGCTTCCGCAGCTCCTCTGTGCCCGGTTCCTGCTCTTGAGTCTCGGGCAAGGACAAGGTAGCCCGTCTGGCAGCTAAGAGGCGATGGGGATAGCGGAGCGGGAGACGGAGCCGGTGTGCACAGCTGGGCACTTGCTGTTGCCACTGCTGCTGGGAAGTCGGCTCCTGCCTTCTCTCTGGGCTCTGCTCCTGCCTGGGGGGTCCTCAGGTGCTGGGTGACAGAGCTTGGAAACCAAACTGGCCTGGTTGGGGAAAGACTCTGTCTGTCTTTTCCAAAGTAGCTCACTAGTAACTAGTGCTATTAGTGCCATTACTGATTAATAGTAAATAGGAACTGGCCTATTGGTTTCTTGAGCATCTCCTCCATGCCAGGCCCTGTGCTAAGCTTTTGACATCCCATTTCATCCTCACAGCCACCTGGACGGTAAGTACTGCTGCTAGCCTCACCCTAAGGACGAGGGAAATCAGGCGCAGAGAAGTTAAGTAACCCACTCAGAGTCACACTGTGTTAAGGGGTGAGCTAGGTCCAGCTCTTTCTCACTCTGAAGTCTGTGCCCATGACCTCCAACTGGAGTCTGCCCCTGCAGAAGCCGTTAGAGAGGAAAGCCTCCAACTCCTGCCCCTGTGTGGGAGCCATCGTGGCACAGCCCATGTCTTTGTGGCCGAAAGTGAAATGTCCCCATCTGTAGCACCGCCCCTCTGGGTCTACCCACCTGGCCTTGTCTGGTTAACTTCGCGCCTCTGCTCTCAGGCCCTGCTATGCCCCCTTCTATCATGAAATCTGCGTCTGCAGAGACACCAGGGGATGGAACCTGGGGACCCCTGGCCCACTAACCATGTCCCCATCCCAGCCTTCACGGCTGGAGAAAATGCCTGGGGTCTGACCCTGGGCTTGGCGTGTCTTTTGTCAGATGCTCCTGAGCACCTGCAGCATAGCCCCTGCCCCAGGCCATTGCCCAAAGCCCCTCCTCCAGCCTAGAATCCTACCCGAAGGGTGTGTCGGAACTGGGGTTCTTCTCTTCAAGGGGAAGGAGCTCCCTCTGACCCCTGGCCCTGCTCCAGCTGCTGGGAGCCTGGTCCCCTGCTTAGTCTCCTGGCTCTGCACCTCCATCACCCACAGCCTGGCACAGCGGGCCCAGTGGTGGGTCCGGGCAGCTAGGCAGCTGAGGCTGGGGTGGGAGGCTGCCCAGGGCCACCCAGCTGCAGGGTGCTGAGCTGGCACGTCTTCCACCTTGTCACCTAGGGCACTGCCTTACCCTCTGCCCTTCCTTCCAGATCCCAGTCACCCAGGCCTGCCTCATGGAGGACATCGAGCAGTGGCTGTCCACTGACGTGGTATGTTGGGGCCCACTCCTCACCCACACAGCAGGAGGACCCGTTGTTCTCACCAAGAAATGACCCATGGGGCCAGGGTAGACTTATATAGCATATAGCACCCTGAGAGCAGAGGGGCACACTTAAAGTCCCCATCTCCTGCCACCTGCCCACCTTGTGTTTGGCACGCCCCCCAGAGAAGTCCTGGGCACAGTAGCCTCTCGGCTGCTTCCCAGAGCCTGCTCCCAAGGTGAGGTCCCAGTGGGTGTCAGCCCACCTTAGGGACATCAGGCCAGGCTAGAGAGGCTAACCGAGGAAGCATAACAGCGCCAGGCTCTTACCTGCAGTAGCTCAGAAGACTCCAGCCACTTGCAGAGGGAACCCATCACCACCCTGTTTACAGATCAGAAGACCGATAAGCAGCTGTCCTCTAAGGGGAAGCACCCAGGAGGAGGAGGGCGGGTGCCAGTCATGGGGACCCCAAGCCCTGCCACCCTCCCAGGGAGCAGAAGGGGCAGGGCCAGACTCAGCTTCTCCGTCCAGGGCTCCTACCGCAGCATCTGCCACCCCGTCTCTGGGCACCAAGGCCCACATGGGCACTTCAGGCCCAGAAGCCGCCTTCTGCAGGTGAAGAGACCATTTCTGCCCAGGACTAAGCCACAGACCAAGGACTCAGGCTTTCTGTCTGGTGGCAGAAGCCTCACCCCCTCCCTAGTTTGCAGTGTTAGCATGAATGGCCCTCAGCCTCTGGATGTCAGCCTTTCCCCCCCAGGGGTGAGGACCACCCACCCCTTGTGACCCTCCAAGGAAAGGAACCAGCACTCATCAAGGTCCCACTGGGCACCAGGTGCTGGGCTTGGCGTGCTGTGTGTTATCCCATTTCAGCTTCCCAGCAACCCTCCAAGTTAGCTTCAGCCCCCACCCCGCCCCCATTTTACAGAAGGAAAACACAAGGCTCAGGAAGTCAGGTGCCACCCAAGGAAGGTCCTACGGCTCAGGGAGGAGCCCAGGTCCAGGTCCTGGGACCTGGGTGGTGGGGGCGTGCAGAGCCTGAGCTGGGACCCAGTGCTGAGGTTCAGCGGGGCCCGAGCTGCAGCACCACTGCCCCAGGCTGACCGTACTGGGGGCCCGGCTAACCTCTGCCTCCTTTCCTTCTACCTTCCCAGGGTAATGATGCGGAAGAGCCTAAGGGGGTCACCAGCGAAGGTAGTAGTCCCCGCCCCTGCCCGCCCTCTCCTTTCCCCAGGGCTCTGGCCTCAGGGCCTACCCTCACCCTCTCCCCTTCCTCTAGAATTTGACAAATTCCTGGAAGAACGGGCCAAAGCCGCGGACCGATTGCCCAACCTCTCCAGCCCCTCAGCTGAGGGGCCCCCGGGTCCCCCATCTGGCCCAGCGCCCCGGAAGAAGACCCAGGAGAAAGATGATGACATGCTGTTTGCCTTATGAGTGTGGGGTCTGGCACCCTGCAGCCCAGGTCCCCACTGCTCTCACACCCTTAGGCTGGGACCTCCCTCCCTCCTCTGGTGTTAAGGCTGCTTTGGGGGTGGCTTGTTACCCCCTTTTCCTCCTCTTTGAAGACGGAGCTGCCCCAGCTGTGGCTGGGGGTGTGGAGGCAGTGGGATGAACTGGGGGACAGGTCTGCGCTGCAGTGGGATCTGGCTGCTCTGCCTCCTTTCCCACCCCAGCTGACCATGAGACTTTGCTGAGAAGTGGAGGCCCCAGGACAGGCTGGCTGGCTGGCTGGCTGCTTGACCCAGTGTGACTCTCCTTCACTGAGTGATACCCTGCTCCGGGCCCATGCCCCAAGGAGCCCTTCAGAGCCCACACTGCCAGTCGAGGCCTGGCTGGAGGCTGGCCACAGTGGAAATTCTGCCGAGCCTCTTGTCCCTTCCCTGCTCTGCTGCATGGGGCCCCATGGCTTTGGCTGGCCACTGAGGGTAGGGTGTGGAGGTGTGGAGGCCCCCTGAGGAGCTGCGGCGGCCCAGGTACGAAGCTGCAACTCTGCGCGCAGTGGGCGAGATCTCATCAGCCCCAGGCTGCAGGTGAGGCTTCAGGGGATGCTGGGGCCCCACTGCCCCTCCGCTGCCTTGCCCTCCATCCTTCCTCTGTTCCTTCTGGCCGGGCACCACAGCACTGGGGCTCACCTCTTGGTTGATCCTCTTGTACTGGGAGAGGTGCCTTTTGTATCCCCAATTAAAGGTAGAAAACCACCCTGCTAGCAGCATTGTCAAGTCTCCTGGTCAGAAATGACTTCTTGGCCTCACAGAGGCAGCGACTACTTTGGGCAGGGCTGGGGGCCATCCGAGAGGTGAGCATCTGTAGATGGTGCAGGCGGAAGGACAGGAGCAAACACCCAGCTACACTACGCAGGTGCCGCCTCCTCCCACCTCACATGGCAGGCTCCAGCCACCGCCCCTGCCCGGAGGATGCATGCCCTCCCCAGCTGACACCCCTCCCTCCTCAAGGCACCTTCGTGCTGCTGTTCCATGAGGCCAGCTCCTGCCCTGCACAGAGCACACTAATCACAAGGGCGGGGACCTGTGTGGACTGTGTGCGCATGTGGGGTGCACAGGCCACAGGAGGATGCTGGCCTTCCGAGGCTGGGTGCCAGGCACAGCCTGGGGCTACGCACTGGCTCGTAGCATCACAACAGCCTGGGAGAAGCAAAGTGAGCGTCCTCGATGTATAGATGCGGAGACTAGGACTCCATGAGCCGCCCAGCTCAGAGGAGGAAGCTCATGCAGTTGTCATGTGCCAGCATTTCCTCATGCAGAAGCGCATCCTCCCCATTTTCCAGGCACCAAAGCTAAGTTGGGAAGACATGGCACACAGTTCCAGACGCTGGGCCCCAGGTCAGGTGCAGGGGGTCAGCTCTTCCCTCCATGGCAGCTCAAGAGCCCCAGGTCTTAGGGTGCCACCTTTTCAGGTGTGGGATCTCTAGGCCAGACTCCCTGGGAGTCACTGCTGAGGCATGTTGGAGCCTCCTGGCCCAGGACACGGTCGGGGAACGGTGTGAGGCCAAAGCAATTGGGTCCACAGGGTCCTGGGCTCCTGGGAGAGGGCCGAGGTCTGTGTGAGCAGCCACTGATTCCCATGGGCAGTGGGCAGGCAGCACCTGCCATCTGAGGTATGGTCTGGAGCTGGGCATACAGGAGACCAGGCCCAGCCCAGCCCTCAAGATGGAGTTGGGGCAAGGAAAGCAGCTGGGGGCAGGCACACTGGTGCCAGGCAGGGGAGGGGGAGGCCCTGCCGCCATCAGGATGCTCATGGTCCAGGCCAAGCTCCCTCTGCCACATCCAGGGCATCTGTGAGCTCCTGCCAGGTGCCCTACCCTGGCCCAGCCCTTTCAGTACCTCACAACAGCCCCAGGGGGTCAATGGTGTTGGCCACCAGTTACAAATGGGGAAACTGAGGCTGAGGGAGGAAGGGACTTGCCTGGTCATACACTAAGTAATGGAAGACTGGGACCCCCAACCTTCCTCACTGCTGCCTCACCTGCCTGCCCCACCCACACCCCACTGCCTGCTTCCCTCATTCTCTCCCTACTTAACTGGGGACCTCTTAGAGGGGAGTTGTGATTTTACAAGGATCAAAGCCAAGGCCTCCTCTCCCCTGTGTTAGCTGGGAAACCCAAGGAAACTTCCACAGAAGGCCCCCAGGGCTGGGAGGGCCTCAGGTGCTAAGGGTGAAAACTGCCAGGTTGTTCATTCCTCCCTGTGGGTGCATCCCCTGGGAGCCAGCTGCACACAGCATAGCGCTAGGTGCCCGCCAGACAGAAGTGAAGCGGCCAGGTGCCAGCCCTGTGGGGTCACGTGGGAGGGAAAGGGACGAGAAAGACAGACATAAACTCAATCATTGTTTCACGCTGTGAAAAGAAGAAGATGGGACGGGACGCCCAGGGCCAGGAGGCTCTCTGTGAGGACGGCCTAAGGCTGCTGAGGTAAGATGGGGTGGGCTGGGCCATGAAGGGCCTTGAATGCCAGGCAGGAGGTGGCCCCTGCAGAGGTCTCGGCTTGGCTGGCTGGAACAGTTCCAGGCTGCCTGAAGGCCTCCTTCAGAGAGAAGGCTGCTGGGGCTGCATGGGGGCTGGGGGGGGGGGCGCTGGCGGGAATTCATCAGTGCAGTCAGGCTGGGTTCCCTGGCAGCAGGCTCTGTCTGAGGCTGCAGGCCTGGGCGGGATCACTTTACAGCTGCAGGAAGTCTTGGCCCCAAGAAAATGAGGGCCAGCTGTCTGGTGGGAGCCTTGGGTAGGAGCAGGGCCTCCACCTGGCACCACAGGGCAGGATTAACGAGGTGCCGCCGCTCCCGCTGGGCCCAGCTACATCGGAAGGCGCTGGGCCGGGGGCATGGAGGGGAGGGGTTGAGTGGAGCTGGGAGGGGCTGGTGGGCAGGGGAAAGGGCGCCTGGGGGGCAGCCCCAGGCCTGCCTTTGAGGAAGCCTTTTGCAGAGCCTCCACCAAGCCCTCTCCCTCCTGGCTCCCCTGGGCCACCACGATCCCACCCTGGGCCTGGACACCGACCCCTCCACCTCCTGCCCTAGTGTCAGTACCCACCTCCCAGACCGGCCACTTCTGGGCTGTGTGACCTTAGGCAAATTACTTAACCTTTCTGTGCTTCTGTTTTCTCACTGGTAAAATGGGCAGATAACACTCGTTGCCTCATAGGGTTGTTAGGGTTGACTGAGCCAACAAGTAACTCAGCACCTGCCATGTAGACAATGCTCTGTACATGTTGTTATTGTCACGGATGGTTCCCTGCTCCCTTCCAGAATGGCCTCTGCTCCAGACACCTGGCTCAGAGCCCTGCCCCTCAGACTCCTCAGTAATTCTAGGGACCCCTGCTCTGCCTCTGGTATTGCCTTCCCAGCTCCAGAATAACGTCTGTCCCTACTCCCCACTGGGAGAGAACCAAAGGACTGTGTCTGTCTTTCCTCCTGGTCTGGGCTGCTAACCCTAAGAGGGTCAGGGCTGTCTTGATCCTGGCAACACGGCAGGGTCCCCCTGGCGTTCCTGGATTGGGCTCTGCGGGCTCTCGGTAGGCGCTTTAGGAAGCCTTTGCCCGCTCCAAGGTGGCTGGAGGTAGGCCCAGTTCTGAGTCCTGAGCACGGTCTACGGCCCCTGCTCAGGGTCAGTGTTTCAAGGCGACCACGAGATGGCAGTAGCACTGCATGTACAGGGCTTGCCGGGGCACTAGGGTGGAGTCCACCGCGGCCAAATCAGCCCCTCCCGGGTACAGACACCGGGAGAAAGGGGCGGGTGCTGCCGGCTCCTGCCCGCTCCTGCCCCGCGCGAGCTCACAGGCGCGCGCGTGCACACACACACGCGCACACGCCCTCTGACTGGTGGGGCTGAGTAACAATGGTGATGGGGCTGGGAGCTGGAGTCCGAGGGTCTGGCTTCACCGCCGGGCTCTGCTGTGGGACTACACAAGGGATTTCATCTCTGGAAGCCTCAGATCTTCTTAAACGTCCCGATTCACAGGGTTGTGGGGAGGATTTGGTGAGACAAGCTGGGAGCTCAGCTACGGGAGCTTTGGGTGGGCAAAAGTGAGCCCGGTCCCCTCCCTCTCTTTACAGAGCCCCGGTGTGCCGTTGCTGGGGCCCCCTGCTCCCGCGCCTTCTCAGCCGACACGCTCAGATCCGTGTGCATTGCCGTTTCTGTCTCCACGTGTAGACAAATCATGAGCTCGCCCAGTAACTCCAGCTCTACCACAGATTCCTTCTCTTTTCCGCCCTTCCCCTATGTCTAATTCCCTTCTCCAGCAGTGAGAAACCTGCTTCCCGCCGTCCTTCATTCCTTCTCTCCCCCCATCCCCGCAGAAACCAATCTCTGTTGCCACCACTGCCCCGTCCTGCCAGTGCCTCCCACCCTCTCCGCGTGGACCGCCACCACCCTGCCCCACAGACAGGCCCCTAGACACAGAAATCTTCTTTCTCACAGTTCTAGAGGCTGAAGTTCAACATCAAGGACGTGGACTCCATCTGTTCAGTTGGTTCCTTCCGGCCCCTCCGTGGCTGTATATGGTCATCTTCTCCCTGGGGCCTCACATCATATCCCCTCTGCATCTCTCTATGTTCAAAAGTCCCATTTTTATAAGGACAGCATTCATCAAGGATTAGAGTCCACCTAATGATCTATTGTACCTATTGTACCTTAATCACTTTTTTTTTTTTTTTTTTTGAGACAGAGTTTCACTCTTGTTGCCCAGGCTGGAGTGCAATGGCGCGATCTCGGCTTACTGCAACCTCCGCCTCCCAGTTCAAGCAATTATCCTGCCTCAGCCTCCTGAGTAGCTGAGATTACAGGCATGCGCCATCACACCTGGCTAATTTTGTATTTTTAGTAGAGACGGGTTTTCTCCATGTTGGCCAGGCTGGTCTCGAACTCCCAACCTCGTGTGATTCACCCGCCTCGGCCTCCCAAAGTGCTGGGATTACAGGTGTGAGCCACAGTGCCTGGCACTTCTTTAAAGGTCCTACCTCCAAATACAATCGCATTCTGATATACTAGGGATTAGAGATTCAACGTATGAATTCAAAGGGACGAAGCAGCCCTGTATTGCCCTCTGCTGCCCTCTAGGCCCTGGGTCCATTCTCCCAGACACACTGCTCTTTCGCAGGTGGCCACAGTGTCTTCAGAGGGGCTGCCACATGAAACACCCGCCTCCACTCCCTGCCCCCTGCCCCCTGCCCTAGTGGGAGTTTGAGGGTGGCTAGATTCATCCTAGGGCAGCCTAGCCTTAGATCCAAGGATTAGCCATGGGACCAGGAGCGAGCAGGGGTGCCGGCAGAGTGGAGGGAGATACAGGTGCTGGGAGCTGGGCTGGGGCTGCTCTCCTGGTCCCCATGTCCGCTTGTTTTTTCAGAGCAGACCCAAGCGGGTAAGCTGGCAGGTTTCACTTCCACCCACCCTGGTACAGGGCGAGACTGGAGGAAGCAGCTTCGCCGGGCCGAATCCTCACCCCTTGCCTCTGACTCAGGACTCCCGTGACGTCTTCCTGCCCCTGCTGCAGGCTGGCCCTGCACCCTCTGTGCACCGTGGACCAGGCTGGCCAGCAGAGGGAAGGAACCCAAGCTGACCAGGGCCCCAAATCCCCAGTGGGTCAGAGTCAGGTTGGCAGGGCACTTGGACCTCTTGAGGCGGGTGAGAAATGTGCAGACAGGGAAGTGGAGGCCCAGGGAGGGGAGGGGCCTGCCCTGACCAGTGTACTGCCTCCCTACCTGGTGCAGGGGCCCAGGAGGCTCTGTGTGCCAGCCCAGCCTGCCCGGGGAGGAAGCAGCCCCCACCCACGCACAAGCACAGGGAAGTCAGTGCAGGGTGGAGGGTGGGGACTCCTGGGGCCCCCTGTGTCAGGTCCAAGCACGGCCCAGGAGTCAGCCAACCGAGCTTCCAGCGGTGCACAGACACTGACTTCCTGTTTGATTTGGAGCAAGCCTTCTCCTCTCTCTGGGCCTCAGTTTCCCCATCTGTTAATCGGCTTGATTTAAGAGAGCGTAAGGCCCCTTTGCACTCTGCTTTTCTGCCCTATCAACCCCCAAATTCCATAATCCTCCTTCCAAAAAGGAAAGAAATACGAGGAAAGAAACTCAAATATCTACAAGAGAGGGAAGCAGGACCCCGGGTTTATCTCCCCTCCAGGACCAGCGGCGATAGGGAAACAACTGCCCAAGCTTCAGTGGGACCAATGGGTGGAGGCGGCCACCCACACACCCTGCTGAATGCCCGCACAGGAAGCTGACCGCCTAGGGGCAGGAGGGAAGCGAAACCCAAGCCGGGGACATCCTTGCACCTGCCCTGGGGTACCCCTAGGAAAGGGAAAAGCAAGTGGGTGAACTGAGGAATGGGGGTGCTGCCCATGCTCCCCACAGGACCCTGCCCTCACTGGAGCCCTTGGAAGCTCTGTTAAAAATGAATCTTCAGCCAGGCGCAGTGGCTCACGCCTGTAATCGCAGCACTTTGGGAGGCCGAGGTGGGTGGATCACCCGAGGTCAGGAGTTCAAGACCAGCCTGGCTAACATGGCGAAACCCTGTCTCTACTAAAAATGCAAAAATTAGCCAGGCGTGGTTGTGGGTGTCTGTAATCCCAGCTACCAGGGAGGCTGAGGCAGAAGAATCGCTTGAACCCGGGAGGCGGAGGCTGCAGTGAGCCGAAATCGCGCCACTGTACTCCAGCCTGGGCAACAAGAGTGAGACTCCATCTCAAAAAATATACAAATTAAAAAAAAAAAAAAGAATCTTCATTTTACAAAGGAGGGGGTGAGGTCAGAAAAGTCAACTAGCTAATCCAAAGCCACACAGCCGGCAAGTGGAAACATTGAGTCCTCTTTTCTGGGGAGAAAAGGTCCCTGGGGGATCAGGATGAAGTGCACTCTATTCTGGGCCTGGGGCTGCGCCTAGGTCTGCCTTGGGGCTAGAAAAGTCACTGTGTACATTATCTGTATGAGTAGCCCTGAGCCCTGCAAGCCACTTAGGCTGCAGAGGCCACTGGACCCCTGCAGGGAGAAGGCTGGCTGCTGAGATGGGGCCCTCCCTCAGGATCCCTTCTCAGGCCCAGACCAGTGCAGAGACTTGCCCAAGGCCACACAGCAAATTTGTAAAAGAACTGAAACTAGAATCCCGGTCCTCCATAGCACCTGCCCCGCAGGAGGTGGGCGAATGGAGGACAGCTGGGAAGTCTGTCTTCAGAAGGCCCTCCCCAGCACCCTGCACCGTGCTCTGGGCTCCCACAGAACTTTCAGCCTCAGAGACCAACTAGGCCAGTGGGTTCTAAAACCTTCTCTCCCCAAGGAAATCTTCTATCATGGTCTCTCCCCAAGACTATGGATTTAGAAGAGTTTTGTTTGTTTTGATTTTTGGCCACAAAACATTCCACAATGCATTGAGTTGTTAATATTTTTCCCTTTTGGGCATCAGTAATCAAGACTTTTTTTTTTTTTTTTTTTTGAGACAGAGTCCCGCTGTGTCCCCCAGGCTGGAGTGCAGTGGCGCAATATCGGCTTACTGCAACCTCCGCCTCCCGGGTTCAAGTGATTCTCCTGCCTCAGCCTCCCAAGTAGCTGGGATTACAGACACATGCCACCACGCCTGGCTAATTTTTGTATTTTTAGTAGAGATGGGGTCTCACCATGTTGGCTAGGCTGGTCTCGAGCTCCTGACCTCAAGTGATCCACCCACCTCGACCTCCCAAAGTGCTGGGATTACAGGTGCGAGGCACTGCGCCCGGCAGTAATCAGACTTTTAATACACCAATGCAGTATCTCGTTCCATCCAAAAGTGCTCCAGTTGCCTGGGCAGCCTCATCTGAGGGAACTAACAGCACAGCCTCTGTTTGCCCAGCCCCTCTGGGCCCACCCACTGTTTGGAGCAGAACCCCAACCCAAAAGGGCAGGAGCTGAAGATAGCCATGCTCACTGCTGGCCAGGGGCTCCCCCACGGCTCCTGCCAGCCTTGGCCTTCACACGCATTGGGCATCTCCATCGACGGCCACCCTGGCTTCTGCACCGTCCCCACGTAAACATGGCTCTGCCCTCCCATCCCCTCACCTCAACTCTGCAACACAGGGACCCAGGAGACAGAGGCAAGGAAGGGAGAGTGAAGGAGCTGGCCATACCCTCCTGAAGTGCTAAGGGGAGGGAGGAGGGGATATCAAATTCGATGTGAGATTAAACTTCAAGACTGGACTTTTTTTTTTTTTTTTGAGATGGGATCTCATTCTGTCACCCACGCTGGAGTGTAGTGGCGCTATTTCGGCTCACTGCAGCCTCTGCCTCCTGGGTTCAAGTGATTCTCCTGCCTCAGCCACCCAAGTAGCTGGGATTACAGGCGTGTGCCACTATGTCTGGCTAATTTTTGTGTTTGTAGCAGAGATAGGGTTTCATCATGTTGGCCAGGCTGGTCTGAAACTCCTGAGCTCAAGCAATCCACCCACCTCGGCCTCCCAAAGTGCTGGGATTACATGTGTGAGCCACTGCGCCAAGATTGGACTTTTTTGTACTTGAAAATGACAAGAAAGTTAGCAAAACCACCCAAGATGTCACAAAGGACCCTGGTGGAGGCTGGGCATGGTTGAAGACAATGGTTGGAGAAAAGGAAGCTCTCTCATGTCCATGTTTGTGCACAGGGACTTTGGATCTGCAAGCTTGGGGAGGGAGCTGGAGACAGCTGGACTGCTCTGCTCTTAAGAGGGAGGTGAATCCTACCGGGCCATCTGGAAGAGGGCCTGAGAGCACAGAGACAAGAACGGGGAAAGGGAAGAGAGAGAAGGCAGGAGAGGGTGAGCTACTGGGCCCCAGGCAAAGAGTTGGGGGAGGATCAGAGGTCAACTACTGGGGTAGAGGGAGGGAAGGGAGAGGAGTAGCCAAAAAAGATTCGGAAGAACAGATGCTGTATTAGATTGTTCTCTAGGTTCTGTCTAATGTCACCCCTCTCTGTGGCCCTGAGATCTTTAGTAAATGCTCTGCTCATAAGTATTTGTCAAGAGTAGGGTTTTGGGCCAGGCATGGTGACTCACCCCTGTAATCCCAGCACTTTGGGCGGCAGAGACGGATGGATCACCTGAGGTCAGGAGTTCGAGACTAGCCTGGCCAACATGGTGAAACCTCATCTCTACTAAAAATACAAAAAATTAGCCAGACGTGGAGGCGGGCGCATGTAATCCCAGCTACTTGGGAGGCTGAGACAAGAGAATTGCCCAAACCCGGGAGGTGGAGTTGCAGTGAGCAGAGATGGCGCCATTGCACCCCAGCCTGGGCGACAGAGTGAGACTCCGTCTCAAAAAAAATAAAAAAAGAGTAGGGTTTTGGGGAACTGGGGAAGGAGCAAGTTTCATGTCTGAGTCAGCACAGTTCAGAGCAGAAATAGGAAGAAGCTGGGACAGCAGGGTGGGGGAAGTGGTGAAAACACAAGTACCAGGGATTGCCGGAACCTTCAGGAGGACTTTGGGCTTTTACTGGACGTGAAGTTAGGGGAGGACTCTGCCCTTCCCTCAGTGACTTCTTCACATGCTGCCAAATACATTTCATTTTTTTTTTTAAAGAAATGGGGTCGTGCTCTGTTGCCCAGATTGGAATGCCGCGGCATGATTGCAGCTCACTGCAACCTCGGCTTCCCCCGTCCCCTCTCCCCTACCCCCTGCTCAAGCGGTCCTCCCACCCAGCCTCCTGAGTACCTAGGACTACAGGCACATACCACCACGCCCAGCTAATTTTTATTTTTATTTATTTATTTTATTTATTATTATTTTTTTAGAGGGAGTCTTGCTCTGTCACCCAGGCTGGAGTGCAGTGGTGTGATCTCGGCTCACTGCAACCTCCACTTCCCGGGTTCAAGCAGTTCTCCTGTCTCAGCCTCCCGAGTAGCTGGGACTACAGGCGCGTGCCACCACACCCAGCTAATTTTTGTATTTTTAGTAGAGACAGGGTTTCACCATATTGAGGTCAGGATGGTCTCGAAGTCCTGACCTCAGGTGATCCACCTGCCTCGGCCTCCCAAAGTGTTGGGATTACAGGCGTGACCCACCACGCCCAGCTGTCATTTTTTTAAAAAATATTTTTGCAGAGATGGGGTCTCACTGTGTTGCCCAGGCTGGTCTCCAACTCCTGGGTTCAAGTGGTCCTCCCACCTCAGCCTCCCGAAGTGCTGGAATTACAGGCATGAGCCACTGCACCCAGCCGAAAATATATTTCAAAGGGCAAATCCGACCATGTTTTACAATACCCACACCCCCAAAACCCAACACACACACCTAAAACCTTTCACTTGCTCTCAGGCTAAAGACCCACCTCCTGGCCTGGCCTCCAGGGCCCCTGGAGTCTGTCCCCTGCCACATTCTTCAGGTTCTCTGCACTCCAGACAGGCTGTCTTTCCCACCTCAAAAGTTTCATGCTGGGCTGGGCACAGTGGCTCACGCCTGTAATTCCAGCATTTTGGGAGCCTGAGGCATGTGGATCACGAGGTCAGGAGATCGAGACCAGCCTGGCCAACATGGTAAAATCCTATCTCTATTAAAAATACAAAAATTAGTAGGGCGTGGTAGTGCATGCCTGTAATCCCAGCTACTCGGGAGGCTGAGGCAGGAGAATCACTTGAACCTGGGAGGTGGATGTTGCACTGAGCTGAGATCGCACCACTGTACTCCAGCCTGGGCGACAGAGTGAGACTCCATCTCAAAAAAAAAAAAAAAAAGTTTCATGCCCTGACCACAGGGCCTTTGTATGTGCTATTTCCTCTAAAACAGGCCACCTGACTTAACTCATTCATCCTTCAGGGCTCAGCTACTGTGTCACCTCCTCAGACAAGCTACTCTAACTTCCTGACTGGTCATTCATCCGGCACAATGGAATCCACCTGCACAATTACGCTGGCAAAGAGGAATGGGATGACCACAGGATGGCTTAGAATCTCTGCCTCAGAGTAACCATGACTCACCTCTGGCACTGGGCACACCCTCCCTAAATCTATGATTCCATCTGGATCCCAAACAAATTGGGGTTCTGTTACCTAGGGGAAGAGGAGATGGCTGTTGAGTAGACAATCAACAGTGTCCACCACATTGCCATACACTGCACTCCCCAACCCAACCTCACTTGCAGAGGAGGAAGGGGGCTCGTAGACGTTTCTGGAAGGTGATGGCAGGAGCACGAGTGAGAAGGAAGTTGCCCTGCCTGGGCACTGGTCTCAGACTGGCCTGACAAGATGGGAGGTTGTGTGATGTATGATGAAGCCTCACTATTGGACAGTTTGTTTTTGATACAGGTAACTGCCAGTCATATCATGACCTCTGGGACACACACATACTAAAAAAAAAAAAAAATACACAGGAAAACCTCCCAGCTTAGTTAGCAATATGTAAGGCTTTTTGTCTCCCCCTCCAACAAAAACCTCATAAAGACTCACGTAGAGTCAGACTGATGGTGCTGTTTCAGCCAACCCGTATCCCATGCTTGCATACCTCCAGTGACAGGGCACTCACCACCTTCAATAGGAGCCATCTCACCTGGCCAGCCCCCCGACACTGATCCATAAATTAAGCTATAAAATCTAGTTGGCATATTGTTTAATGGGTACAGAGGTTTAGTCTGGGATGATGGAAAAGTTCTGGAGATGGATGGTGGTGATGGTTGTACAGTGGGAATGTACTTAATGCCACTGAACTTTACACTTAGAAGTGGTCAAAATGGGCCAGGCGTGATAGCTTACTCCTGTAATCCCAGCACTTTGGGAGGCTGAGGCAGGTGGGTCACCTGAGGTCAGGAGTTTGAGACCAGCCTGGCCAACATGGCGAAACACTGTCTCTACTAAAAATACAAAAAATTAGCTGGTCATGGTGGTGCGTGCCTGTAGTCCCAGCTACTCAGGAGGCTGAGGCAGGAGAATCACTTGAACCCGGGAGGTGGAGGTTGCAGTGAGCTGAGATCATGCCATTGCACTCCAGCCTGGGTGACAAGAGCGAAACTCCGTCTCAAAAAAAAAAGAAGTGATCAAAATGGTAAATGTTATGTATATTTTACTACAATTAATTTAAAAAACCACACACACACAAGCACCATCTCTCAGGCTTCACAACTTACCAGCTGTGTGGTTTTGAGCAGGTTACTTTTTTAAAAATCTGATTGGCAGTTAAGGCAAACACTTAGGCCCACTCTCTCCTTTGATCCCGATTTGCTTTGGTTCAGCCTCATCTCCCAAGCTCAGAAATTTGGGCTCCATTTTTAGAGCTTCAAATCCTGCCTCTTTTCTCTGTAGAGGCTGTAGCCGCGGTCATCCTCGCTTGCTAGGGGCCTACTGTGTGCTAGGCTCTGAGGATGTACGTAGCGAGAAATGAGTCATAGCCCTTGTCCTCCCAGCCACAGGGAATAGTCAGGGGAAAAGGGGTTAGTTAGTTGGATAGATAGGTAGGTAGGTAGGGAGGTAGTGGAAACCTGCCAGACTCCAGTCTCCATGAACCCCAGCCCAGCTGTGAAACTCCTGAGGACTGGTCCCTGATGTCCTGTGTCCCCAGATGCCCTCATTTAGGTGGGAATGACCACAGCACAGGATGACACTGGTCCCTGAGCTCTTGGCATGAACAGAATGTGTGTGGGGAGCCTGTGACCTAGGAATGTCCACAGCACAGGATGACACTGGTCCCTGAGCTCTTGGCATGAACAGAATGTGTGTGGGGAGCCTGTGACCTGGGAATGTCCACTGACACCGGTGATCATGTGTCCAGGAAGAGGAGGCAGGAATTCTCATCTCTGAGGCTCACTCTGCCCCGGGAATTGCAGAGGAACCAAGCAATCTGGGATCGGAGAACCCAGCTAACCCAGAGCAGTCAAAGTGGTGGCCCCAGGGCCATGTCAGGTCTTGTGGAGGGTGGTTGTTGTTTTTTGTTTTTTTTGTTTTGTTTTGTTTTGTTTTGAGACAGAGTCTCGCTCTGTCACCCAGGCTGGAGTGCAGTGGCCTGATCTCCGCTCACTGCAAGCTCTGCCTCCCGCGTTCACGCCATTCTCCTGCCTCAGCCTCCCGAGTAGCTGAGACTACAGGCGCCCACCACCACGCCTGGCTAGTTTTTTGTATTTTTAGTAGAGACGGGGTTTCACCGTGTTAGCCAGGCTGGTCTCGATCATCTGACCTCGTGATCTGCCCCCCTCAGCCTCCCAAAGTGCTGGGATTACAGCCGTGAGCCACCGTGCCCAGCTCTTTTTTTCTTTTTTTAACTGAGTCTATTGTCAATGTTTAAAAAACTGAACATTTCTTTTTTTTTTTTTTCCTTGAGACAGAGTCTCACGCTGTCACCCAGGCTGGAGTGCAGTGGCACAATCTCGCCTCACTGCAGCCTCTGCCTCCCAGGTTCAAGCAATTCTCCTGCCTCAGCCTCCTGAGTAGCTGGGACGACAGGCACCTGCCATCACGCCCTGCTAATTTTTGTATTTTTAGTAGAGATGGGGTTTTGCCACGTTGGTCAGGCTAGTCTTACACTCCTGACCTCAGGTGATCCGCCTGCCTCGACCTCCCAAAGTGCTGGGATTACAGGCATGAGCCATCGCGCCCGGCCACAAGTGCATTTTTGTTACATGGATATATTGCCTGGGCTTTTAGTTTAACCTTCACCCAAATAACGTAAATTGTACCCTGTAGGTAATTCCTCATCCCTCAATCCCCTCCCACCCAATTATTATTCATTTTTCGAGACAGGGGTCTTGCTTTGTTGTCCAGGCTGGTCTCCAACTCCTGACCTCAAACAATCCTCCTGCCTCAGCCTCCCAAGAAATAGCTGGGATTTCAGGCATGAGCCACCATGCCCAGCTGTGGTTACTGATTTTTCAGCAAGAGTCAGCCCTCTCCTTGAAAAGAGAAGAAGAGTCCCCAGCTGAACACCTGTTGTGTACCACACACTGGGTACACGAAGCTCCTACACCCCTGATCTCAGCTGGCCCTGGTAAGCCGGGATTATTAGTCCCATTTTCCTGATAAAGAAATGGAGATTTTGCAGGGTGAAGAGGTCACAATATGGGTTAAGTACAGAGTCCAGCACCCAGCTCCGTCTGATGCCAAAGGCCAGGGGCTTTCCACCACGCCCCCATGCCACCTTCCCAGGGGATGCCGCCTCGCCAGAAGTCCAGGGCACATTCTGGAATTTCTTCAGAGAGGACCTTGGACCCTCATAGAGATCCTTTCTCACAGCTGCCTGCTGGGGAGCCCTTGAGAAGCAAACACTTCCCAGCATTGGACAGGTGACACAGTGGGTCCACAGACACTGTCACAGGTGGCCCTCATGATGGTCAAGAGCCAATTTTTTGTTTTTTGTGTTTCTTGGGGTTTTTTTTTTTTTTTTTTGAGACGGAGTCTCACTCTGTCACCCACGCTGGAGTGTAATAGCATAATCTTGGCTCTCTGCAACCTCTGCCTCCCAGGTTCAAGTGATTCTCCTGCCTCAGCCTCCCAAGTAGTTGGGACTACAGGTGCATGCCATCACACTTGGCTAATTTTTGTATTTTTAGATCCCGGCACTTTGGGAGGCTGAGGTGGGCAGATCCTCTGAGTGCAGGAGTTGGAGATCACCCTGGCCAACATGGTGAAACTCTGTCTCTACTAAAAATACAAAAATTAGCTGGGCGTGATGGCGGGCACCTGTAATCCCAGCTACTCAGGAGGCTGAGGTAGGAGAATCACATGAACCCCCGAGGCAGAGGCTACTGTGAACTGAGATTGCGCCACTGCACTCCAACCTGGGTGACAGAGCGAGACTCCATTTCAAAAAAAAAAAAAAAGTTATACTTACAATTATTGACAAATAAAAGTGCCCTGGCTCTGCTACCTGCCTCCTTCCCTGTTCCCCAAAGTGAATGGGCAGAGTGAGGTAGTGGAGGTGGGGAAGAGAGGGACAGGCCCAGAGCTTGAACTTGAGCCAAGCCCCACAAAGGAGGAAAGACATGGATATCCCAGGCCTCTCTGAGGAGCACAGGACTCAGGACACTGGGTTATATAACTGCAGGGGCGCCGTCCACACTCGGACCATGTGAATGGGCCCTGGCTGGGCAGTGCAGAGCCTGCATGGTGCTCCAGGTGACAGGTGGCCCAGCAGGGCGGGATGGATCTATCCTAAGGGTACCGTAGCACCCCCTTCCTTGTTATGCAGGTGTGGAAACTGAAGTCAGAGAGAAAGGGGACTTGCCAATGGTGTGAGCGTGAGTGGCAGAGGTGGGACCACAACCCACGTCTCCTGCCCTGCCAATTTCCACTGCGGGGAACAGAAGGGGCTCTGTCCCAGATGGAGTACTCGGCTGAGCCTCTGTTTCCTCCTCTAAATTGGAGCTAATTAAAATTGGCTCTTAGGCTGGGTGCAGGGTGAAGTCATCATGAGACAGGGAGATGAAGAAGCAGTATTCTCATGCTGACATCGTTTCTCTGTGAAGATCTTCTAACTTGGCATAAGCTATTTTGCTGGAATTTGGGATCTGAAAAACATCTTAATTCTTTTTTATTTTATTTTTTATTTTTTGAGATACTCACTGTCTCACACTGTATCTCTGGCTGGAGTGCAGTGGTGCAATCTTGGCTCACTGCAGCCTTGACCTTCCTGAGCCGAGGTGATCCTCCTGCATCAGCCTCCCTAGTAGCTGAGACTACAGGCAGGCACCACCATACCCAGCTAATTTTTGTACTTTTTGTAGAGTCAGGGTTTCACCACATAGCCCAGGCTGATCTCAAACTCCTGGGATCAAGTGATCTGCCTGCCTTGGCCTTCCAAAGTACTGGGATTACAGGCGTGAGCCACTGCATTGAGCCATCTTAAGCAATTTGTTTCTGTTTGTTTAAGACAGAGTCTCGCTCTGTTGCCCAGGCTGGAGTGCAGTGATGTGATCTCGGCTCACTGCAGCCTGAATTTCCTGGGCTCAAGTGATCCTCCCACCACAGTCTCCTGAGTAGCTGCCACCACAGGTGTGCCACAGTGCCTGGCTAAGTTTTTAATTGTTTTGTAGAGACCAGGTTTCGCCATCTTACCCAGGCTGGTCTCCGACTCCTGGGCTCGAGCAATCTGCCTGCCTCGGGCTCTCAAAGTGCTGGGATTACAAGCATGAGCTTCTGCACCTGGCCTTAAGCAATTCTTTTTTTTTTTTTTTTTTTTTTTTTTTTGAGACGGAGTTTCGCTTTTGTTGCTCAGGCTGGAGTGCAATGGTGCGATCTCAGCTCACCGCAACCTCTGCCTCCCGGGTTCAAGTGATTCTCCTGCCTCAGCCTCCCGAGTAGTGGGATTACAGGCATGCGCCACCATGCCCAGCTAATTTTGTATTTTTAGTAGAGACGGATTTCTCCATGTTGGCCAGACTGGTCTCGAACTCCCCACCTCAGGTGATCCGCGCGCCTTGGCCTCCCAAAATGCTAGGATTACAGGCCTGAGCCACTGCGCCTGGCCATTAAGCAATTCTTAATCAAAAAGCCTTATGATTCCAGTGTCAGCGATCCTAATAGGAACAGTGGAGATGCAAACAGCCAGTATCCAGTGCTACGTGACTTTCGGTTACGAGGAAGTGGGTCAAAGAGCAGCCTGATTAATTATAACGATATTTCTGTCCAGAATCTTTGTTAACACTATGAGGACAGCTTCAGTTCTTCTTAACCCTGTGAAGACAGCTTCACTGTTATTATTCCTATTTTACAGATAAGAAAACTGAGGCCCCAGAGACATTGAAAGACTTGCTCAGGTCACACAGCCCGTTATTAATGAGATTCAAAACCAGGTCTAGGGATGTTTTTAGCCACCAGGCCTTATAAGAAAGGAACTGTATCATTTCTATCAATAGATCCCAGCCAGGTGTGGTGGCTCATGCCTGTCATCCCAGCACTTTGGGAGGCCGAGGTGGGTGGATCATCTGAGGTCAGGAGTTTGAGACCAGCCTGGCCTACATGATGAAACCTCTTCTCTACTAAAAATACAAAAATTAGCTGGGTGTGGTGGCAGGAGCCTATAATCACAGCCACTTGGGAGGCTGAGGCAGGAGAATCTATTGAACCTGGGAGGTGGAAGTTGCAGTGAGCAGAGATCGTGCCACTGCACTCCAGCCTGGGTGACAAGAGCGAAACTCTGTCTCAAAAAAAAAAAAAGATCCCATTTCCCTTTGTTTAGCAAGGGTCTCCCGCTGTACACAAAGGCACTTCTCCTTTACTACATAAACAGTGAGTCATGAATCCAAGCAAATAATCTAGTGTCTGGGAACGTTATGTCATGCCTGTAATCCTAGCACTTTGTGAGGCCAAGGCAGGCAGATCACTTGAGCCCAGGAGTTCAAGATGAGCCATGGCAACATAGTGAGACACCGTCGCTACAAAAATTACAAAAATTAGCCAGGCATGGTGGTGCGTGCCTGTAGTCCTAGCTACTCAGGAGGCTGAGGTGGGAGGATCACCTGAGCCCAGGAAGTGGAGGTTGCAGTGAGCCAAGATCGCACTACTGCACCCCAGCCTGGGTGACAAGAGTGACAGCCTGGCTGACCCTGTATCAAATAATATATATATATATATATATATATTTTTTTTTTTTTTTGAAACAGGGTCTCCCTGTCTCCCAGGCTGCAGTACAGTGCTCCGAGCTCTGCTCACTGCTACCTCTGCCTCCCGGGTTCAAGCAATCCTCATGCCTCAGCCTCCTGAATAGTTGGGATTATAGTTGTGCACCACCATGCCCCCGTACCCAGCTAATTTTTGTATTTTTAGTAGAGACGAGTTTTCACCATGTTGGCCAGGCTGGTCTCGAACTCCTGGCCTAAAGCGTTCTGCCCCCTCTCAGCATCCCAAAGCGCTGGGATTACAGACATAAGCCATCAAGCCCAGCCCAATAATAATAAATAATAATCTGGTATCAAAATGCATCAAAACTCTGCCACCAACTTGCTGGACCTTGGTTTCATCACCTCCGTTATGAGAGGTTTTGTTTTTCCTGAGATAGAGTCTTGCTCTGTTACCCAGATTGGAGTGCAGTGGCTCAATCTTGGCTCACTGCAACCTCTGCCTCCTGGGTTCAAGCGATTCTCCTACCTCAGCCTCCTGAGTAGCTGGGATTATAGGCACATGCCACCACATCCAGTTAACTTTTTGTATTTTTAGTAGAGACAGGGTTTCACCATGTTGGCCAGGCTGGTCTCGAACTCCTGACCTCATGATCCGCCCGCCTCACCCTCCCAAAATGCTGGAATTACAGGCGTGAGCTGCCATGCCCGGACTGAGGGGCTTTAATATCACCATAGAGCATTCTTGCCAAAAATGGTTAACTAGAATCTAATTTGAGGAAAAAGACAAATTTAGAATATGGGACATTTTTAAGACAGCTGATCTGTCTCTGTAAAACAATCTTCAAGTCAAAGTCATGAAACACACCCAAAAGACATGACTGGATGGTGGGTGAAGGGAGAGCAGACCTCTAAAGAACAGTTTTGGAGATAACTGAGGAATTGTGACTGGACTGAGAGTAACGAATATTGTGTGATCTTCTTAATGTGCAAATAATAAGATAGATTGATGTCCTTGCTCTTAGGAGCGAAGTGTCATGATGTCCACAACCTACTCTCAAATGGCTCTGAAAAAATTAATACATAAACGTGAAAGTGAGAGGCTGGGCGTGGTGGCTCATGCCTGTCATCCCAGGACTCTGGGAGGCTAAGGTGGGTGGATCACTCGAGGCCAGGGGTTTGAGACCAGCCTGGCCAACATGGTGAAACCTTGTCTCTACTAAAAATTCCGAAATTAGCTGGGTGTGATGGCGGGCACCTGTAATCTCAGCTATGTGGGAGGTTGAGGAGGGAGAATCACTTGAACCCAGGAGGCGGAGATTGCAGTGAGCCGAGATCGTGCCACTGCACTCCAGCCTGGGTGACAGAGTGAGACCCTGTCTCAAAAAAAAAAAAAGCAATTTCACTTCTGGGTATACATCCAAAAGAATCGAAAACAGGAACATGAACAGATATTTGTGAACCCATATGCATAGCAACGTTATTTACAATGACCAAAAGGTAAAAGCAACCCGTGTCCATTGATGGATGAAAGGATAAACAAAATGTGTTGTGTGTATACAAATGAATACACACACACATACACACATGGAAACATTATTCAGCCTTACAAATTAAGGAAATTCTAACACATGCTACAAAAAAGAAAAAAAAAGAGAGAAAGAGAAAAACCAAATAGCAAACTGCTGACCATGGGCAATGTGGGTGGAGGGTGTACTGGTGTGTTCATGGTTCTATTCTTTTTTTTTTTTTTTTTTTTTGAGACGGAGTCTTGCTCTGTCGTCCAGGCTGGAGTGCAGTGGCGTGATCTCTGCTCACTGCAAGCTCCGCCTCCTGGGTTCATGCCATTCTCCTGCCTCAGCCTCCTGAGTAGCTGGGACTACAGGCGCCCGCCAACACGCCCGGCTAAATTTTTTTTTTTTTTTTTTTTTTTTTTTTGAGCCAGAGTCTCGCTCTGTCACCCAGGCTGGAGTGCAGTGGCGCAATCTTGGCTCACTGCAAGCTCTGCCTCCCGGGTTCACGCCATTCTCCTGCCTCAGCCTCCTGAGTAGCTGGGGCTACAGGTGCCCACCACCACACCTGGCTAATTTTTTGTATTTTTAGTAGAGACGGGGTTTCACCGTGTTAGCCAGGATGGTCTCCATCTCCTGACCTCGTGATCCGCCCGCCTCGGCCTCCCAAAGTGCTGGGATTACAGGCGTGAGCCACCGCGCCCGGCCTCATGGTGCTATTCTTTTCAGCTCATTGGTATGTCTGAAATTTTTTCAAAATAAAAAGGGAGAAAGAGAGAAGAGAGGAAAGAAGAGTTGGAATGAGCCCCTCTATTCAAAGCCAATCCCAGTCTTAGAGTCTGGGACCCTGTGCTAGTTGGCTTGGGCCGCCGTAACACAGTACCACAGACTAGGGGCTTGGATAATGGAAATTTATTTCTCACACTTTTGGAGACTGGAAGTCCGAGATCAAGGTGTTAGCAGGGTTGGTAATGAGAGCAAAGATCACCTGGTGGCCATCAAACAAACCATCCAGAGGCAGAACTCCTTATCTGAGGAATGGAGAAGTAATTAGACTTTCCTGTTATCTGAAGCCAGCCATCTGGTGCCAGGCTTCTTTCTTAAAAATGTATAAGTAATTAGAATTTCTCTACATCTCTGGAATGCATGCATATAGAAACTCATCATGCAACCCTTGCTGACATCAAGGCACTGAAATGTTTACAAATGTAATCATGTACCGTGACCTACGCGGCTAACATGGTCCAAATTACCCTTAAGTTCCCGCTTTAAGGTCCATAAATGGCTCTAAGGAAAATCTACCCTGGCACGCCCAGTCCTCTCGCTGAAGCGCCCCGCTGAACTCTGCTGCAGCGTTCTTTCTGTCTAATACAACTTCCCTTTTCAAACCTATACTGTTGTTGGTAAATTCCCCTTACTACCCATGAGCCAACCATTCTCTGCTGCCAGCACTCTAACACCTTGCCAAGCAGTTGGTTTCTTTAGAAGCCTCCCTCCCCAGCCTGCAGATGGCCACCTTCTCCCTGTGACCTCACAAGGCCTCCCTTCTGTACCTGTCTGTGTCCTAATCTTTTCTTATAAGAACACCAGTCATATTGGATTAGGGTTCACCCTAACAGCCCCATTTTAATTTAATTATCTCTTTAAAGGCCCTAATACGGGCGGGGTGTGGTGGTTCATGCCTGTAATCCCAACACTTTGGGAGGTCGAGGTGGGTAGATCACCTGAGGTCAGGAGTTTGAGACCAGCCTGGCCAACATGGTGAAACCCAGTCTTTCCTAAAAATACAAAAATCAGCGAGGCATGGTGGCGGGCGCCCGTAATCCCAGCTACTCGGGAGGTTGAGGCAGGAGAATCACTTGATACTCGGCGGCGGTTGCAGTGAGCCGAGATCACACCACTGCACTCCAGCCTGGGTGACAGAGCGAGACTCCATCTCAAAAAAGAATAAAATTAATAAATAAATGCCCTAATACAATCTCCAAATAGTCTGAGTTACTCCAGGTTAGGGTTTCAACATATGAATTTGAGGGGATTCAGTTATTCCCATAACAGCCTCTAAAGCCACCTTGAGCTTCATCCCTCCCCCATATTCCACAGGGGCACAGAGAGGGCTTTCCCAGCCAATTCCATTTCTCTTTCCTGCACAGGTCTGAGGCTGAGCTCTGGGCAGAAGGACCCTGCTACAGGCATCGGCTGGGAGGGAGAGAAAGGGAGAACCTGCCCTCAACCTTCTCCTCATCCATTCCTAGCCAACTCCCCCGACCACGCCCAGCTGCCCAGGGGCCCCGTCCTGCCAGCTCTCCTGCAAGGAGGCTTCTCCCTGCCCTGGTCTCCAAGGAACAGGCTTCTTCCTGGAGCCCAGGGTCCTTCCTGCCTTCCTTGGCAGGTGGGTCCCTGACCTCCTGCATTGTGGTCACTCCCAACCAAACACCTCCCGGGAGGCGGAAGTTGCAATGAGCCAAGATCAGGCCATTGCACTCCAGTGTGGGCAACAAGAGCAAAGCTCCATCTCAAAAAAAAAAAAAAAAAAAAAAAAAAAGTTGCCCTTTCGAATCCAAGGGCTGCTGTTTTTGCAAGTGGATGAAGGCTTTCCCTGAGTATTCCTCTTGCTTCCTCCCACCTCCTCCTGTAACTGAAGGATTGTCCTGTCCTCCTTAAGCATTCATTCTGCATGTTACCCCAGCAGGACCAGGAACCCCAAATACAAATTTTCCTCTATTCCTCTAATCACTTCCATGCCCTTCTCAAGATGCATCAAGACCCTCAAGGTCAGGCCGGGCACGGTGGCTCAAGCCTGGAATCCCAGCACTTTGGGAGGCTGAGGAGGGCGGATCACGAGGTCAGGAGATCAAGACCATCCTGGCTAACACAGTGAAACCTGGTCTCTACTAAAAACACAAAAAATTAGCCGGGCGTGGTCGCGGGCACCTGTAGTCCCAGCTACTCGGGAGGCTGAGGCAGGAGAATGGTGTGAACCCGGGAGGCGGAGCTTGCAGTCACCCAAGATCGCGCCACCGCACTCCAGCCTGGGCAACAGAGCGAAACCCCGTCACAAAAAAAAAAAAGAAAAAAGAAAAAAAGAAAAAAAAAGACCCTCAAGGTCATATTCAAAGGGAAGGAAGTCCAGCCCCCTTGAGGCAGCTGGCTGAAAAACAGGTTTCTCATATACTAAAAGAACTTGGGAAATGGGAATCAGAAATGGATAATCATTTTGTTGCTAGCATGCTCCAAGCTAGGGTCATTATAAGGTGATGGAGACAAGGACATAGGCTGGCCCAAGGCCACAGGCACAGGAGACAAAAATACCCGCAGGACAGAGATGAAGGCTGATCCCAGGCTAACAGATGACCATTAGAACACAGATGAAGGCCAGGTTAAACTGGTTTATTCTGGAACCCCAAGGATGAAGAGGGAGCCCCCGGTTCACTTCAGTATCTCCTCTGTTCTCAGTGGGTAATTATGATGAGATGGGGCCAAGGTTAAGGGTACACAGTAAGACTGGTTCATTCCGAAACCCTAAGGATGAATGAGGAACGCCCTGTTCAGGAAAGGATAACAGGAAAATAAGAGGATGCCTTCTTTTCTGTTTTTTTTTTCTGCTTTGTTCTCTCTTTGCAGGTGGGTAATCACGTCACCGTATGTCAGGACATGCCCCTGCATTCTCAAAAACTGGGAAGTTTGATCACCCAAATCTTGGAACAAAAAGCCACTTTTCCTTTTGAATACTGTTTGGCCTAAAAATGAACTGGGAGAAAATTACAAAAGTCAGCCTTTCTTTCTCCAAAAGAATCCAGTGCCTCTATGCAGGAAATCCTCAAATTAGCCTTCTCAGGTCTTTTATAATCAACAGCAGAATGAGGAGGACAGGGATAAAGAGACAGAGAAATGCAGGGAACAGAGAGAGGCTCAACTATTGGCTGTTTTATAAGCCCTCCAGCCCCACCCAGGTTGCCCTCAGAATCCCCTCCTAGGTAACTGCCATCAGCGCCAGAAGCCAGGCCACTGGCAGATAAACTGCCCCCATGGGATAAATGGGGAAAAGCCCCACATAGCTTGTTCCCTTTGCCACAAGCTCAGCCACTGGAAACGGGACTGCCCTGAGGGTCATAGGAACCCCCCCAGGACAGAATCCCAACCCCTGATGGCCATGAGCTGAAGGGGTTCTCTGCCCTGGCTGGCTTCCAAATCAGACATTGTCATTAACAGGACAAAGCCAAGGGTAACTTTGGAGGCGGCAAGTAAAATTATAAATTTCCCTCTTGAGTTCAAGAGCTGCCTACTCTGTGCTAATCTCCTTATCTGAGCAACTCTCTTCCAAATCCTGTTGGGTAATGGGGGAAAATGGCACCTTCTTTCTCCAAAAGAAAAAAATCTTTATATTACTTAAGGGACCAAGGAGTTTGAGACCAGCCTGGGCAACATAGTGAGACCCTGTCTCCATCAGAAACACAAAAAAATTAGCCAGGTGGACGTGGTGGCACAGGCCTGTGGTCCTAGCTACTTGGGAGGCTAGGGTGGGAGGATCGCTTGAGCCCGGGTGATGGAGGCTGCAGTGAGCCGAGATCGTGCCACTGCACTCCAGCCTGAGTGACAGAGTGAGACCCCATCGCAAAAAAAAAAAAAAATAAGTCAAGGATGATGATGATATAGACTCAGGGAATATCATTAAGTGAACGAGAAATTATCTTTATTCCCCACTTTTAACATGGGGAAACTGAGGCCCCAGGAAGACAACCAAGTATTGGCTGAATTGAGCTGAGGGAGATCTCAAATCACTCAATAGCGACCACCACCTTCCCAGGCAGCTATCGAAGTTCCCATAATGGGCAGATGGATCACCTGGGGTCAGGAGTTCGAGACCAGCCTGGCCAACATGATAAAACCCCATCTCTACTAAAAAAATACAAAAATTAGCCGGATGTGGTATAATTACAGCTGTAATCCCAGCTACTAGGGAGGATGAGGCAGGAAAATTGCTTGAACCTGGGAGACAGGTTGCAGTGAGCCGAAATCACGCCACTGCACTCCAGCCTGGGCGACAGAGCAAGACTCGTCAAAAAAAAAAAAAAAAAAAAGGCCGGGTGCGGTGGCTCACACCTGTAATCACAGCACTTTGGGAGGCTGAGGCAGGTGGATCACGAGGTCAGGAGTTCAAGACCTGCCTGGCCAAAATGGTGAAACCCCCATCTGTACTAAAAATACAAAAATTAGCTGGGCATGGTGATGGGTGCCTGTAATCCCAGCTACTCGGGAGGCTGAGGCAGAGAATTGCTTGAACCCAGGAGGCAGAGGTTGCAGTGAGCCAAGATCGTGCCACTGCACTCCAGCCTGGGTGACAGAGCAAGACTCCATCTCAAAAAAAAAAAAAAAAAAAAGTTCCCACGGTGCTGCCGAGCCTGTGATTGGCAGAGGCATTGTTTATTCGTTCAAGGTTTTTTGTTAAGGGACCCGGTGAGTATCAACTACTAGGCAGTTCTCACTTCTGCTCACTTCTGGGCTCACTTAAGCCTACCAGCAGCCCTGAAGGCTGTTAACCACCCTTTAGAGCTTAGAGAGTCGAAGAGGCAGGGGCCAGGTCCTAAAGAAAGGCACACTGTCCCCAGAGCCTGGGGCGCGATGCCACCCGCCCCCCCCCCCCCCGCCCAGGCGTACCCCCCCTTACCCCGCCCCCCACCCGCTCGCCGCGCCCAGCCCATCTGGCGCCGCTCTGCCCCTGCTGAGTAATCCTTTCCCGAGCCACGTGGCCGTGTTTTTCCTGCTGAGTCACGGTCCCGAGGTCTATTTTCGCTAAGTCACCGCCCCGAGATCTGTTTTCGCTGAGTCACGGTCCCGGTGTCTGTTTTCGCTGAGTCACGGTCTAGAGATTTGTTTTCCTCAGAGTTCCAGCTGCTCCAGGTTTAATCCCCTGGGGCAAAGTCCGGACTGTCCGGCTGGAGTCTGGAGTCGGGACATGCCTCAGCCAGCACGTCCTCGGCCTCGTCTGGGGCCTGAATCCTAGGGAAGCCATAGCAGCTCCTCCACCCTTCCTCTCACTCCTCCTCTAGCCTCTTGCTACTCCCCGCACCACTGTTTTAGGGAACCTCTATCTCCCGACGGCCTGCCACGGGCCAGGCGCTGTGCTGGGGGCTTCACACTTTAAATCGCTGTTGAGCGGGGCGCGGGGGCGCTGCAACCTAAAGGTGGGAGCTACTCAAATGGAGGGGCATCTGTTAAAATGGCCGGCCTGTCATTTTCAAAAACTTCAAGGCCGGGCGCGGTGGCTCACGCCTGTAATCCCAGCACTTTGGGAGGCCGAGGCGGGCGGATCACGAGGTCAGGAGATCGAGATCATCTTGTCTAACACGGTGAAACTTCATCTCTACTAAAAATAGAAAAAATTAGCCGGGCGTGGTGGCGGGCGCCTGTAATCCCAGCTACTCAGGAGGCTGAGGCAGGAGAATGGCATGAACCCGGGAGGCGGAGCTTGCAGTGAGCCGAAATCGCGCCACTGCAGTCCGGCCTGGGCGAAAGAGCAAGACTCCGCCTCAAAAAAAAAAAAAAAAAAAAACTTCAAAGGCTGAGGAACCCAAAGAGGCAGGACAAGTGAATGCAATGCAACCTCTTGGGCTGGAACCTGGACTGGTAAAACGGCTAAAGAGGAGGTTATTGGGGCAATAGGGGACATTTGAATATAGGCTTTATATTGAAGGAGTTCAGGATATGCCACCCAAAATGTGCCACTTTGGATTAAGGATCATTATTATTATTATTATTATTATTTTGAGACAGGGTCTCTGTCACCCAAGCTGCAGTGCAGTGGCACAATCTCGGCTCACTGCAACCTCTGCCTCCTAGGTTCAAGCGATTCTCGTGCCTCAGCCTCCCAAGTAGCTGCGATTACAGGTGTGTGCCACCACTCCCCATTCATTGATTAAGGATTATTTTGAGCTGGCCAGGCGTGGTGGCACATGCCTGTAATCCCAGCACTTGGGGAGGCCACTGTGGGGGGATTGCTTGAGCTCAGGAGTTCCAGACCAGCTTGGGCAACGTGGTGAAACCTTGTCTCTACAAAAAATACAAAATATAAAAAATTTGCCAGGCATGGTGGTGCATGTCTATAATCCCAGCTACTTGGGAGGCTGAGGCAGGAGGATTGCTTGAGCCCAGGAGATTGAGGTTGCAGACCACTACACTCCAGCCTGGGAAACAGAGTGAGACTCTGTCTCAAAAAAAAGGATTATTTTGGGATAAAGGCACTTTAAAAACAAACAAACAAAATCAGGTGCAAAAAGGTTGCTGTGGGTTGGGCATGGTCGCTCAGGCCTGTCATCCCAGCACTTTGGGAGGCAAAGGCAGGCAGACCACCTGAGGTCAGGAGTTCGAGACCAGCCTGACCAACTTGGAGAAACCTCATCTCTACTAAAAATACAAAATTATCCGGGCGTGGTGGCGCATGCCTGTAATCCCAGCTACTAGGGAGGCTGAGGTAGGAGAATTGCGTGAACCTGGGAGGCAGAGGTTGCAGTGAGCCTCTGACCTTCTTTTTTTCTTCCTGAAAGCAAGAGATGAAATTCCATATGGAAGACTTTTCTCTATACGAGGAGAAAATTAGCATTCCTTTCATCCATGGCAGGAAGTTGAAGCCAAAATAAATCTGTACAAACAAAGCTTGTTAAAGCCAGCTCTTCCTAGTCTCTTCTCTACCCAGTTAACCACCCTAACCCACACCCACGCCACTTTGCCTTGTCACGTTTTCACAGTTTACTACTCTGTGTCCAAATCTGCATGTAAGTGTTTGGCTCTGTTTCCTTGAGTCTTCTTTTCCTTAGGACGGCTCACGTGTTATGTAAATGTACGTTAAATAAATGTGTATGCTTTTCTCCTACTAATCTGTCTCATGTCAGTTTAATTCTCAGGCCCAGCAGAAAACTCTAAAAGGGTATAGGTAAAATTTTGCCTCCTCTACAATATAATGAATTTATATCGAAGCCAGATTTCCTGATTTTTATAACCATATGTCAGGGACTGCACTCCAGATATAATACATGCTAAATAATTTGGGGGTAGATAGGCATGGTGGCTCACACCTGTAATCCCAGCACTCTGAGACACCAAGGCAGAAGGACTGCCCCTGACGTCAGGAGTTGGAGTCCAGCCTGGGCAAAATAGCAAGACCCCATCTCTACTAAAAATGAAAAAAATTATCCAGGTGTGGCGGCATGAGCCTATAGTCCTAGATACTCAGGAGATGGAGGCAGGAGGAGATATATATATCTGTATATATTCAAAAATATATATGCATAGTATATCAAGAGAGAATACGATAAAGCAAATGTGACAAAATGCTAACAACTGGTGAATCTGGATGAAGGTGTATAGAAATTCTCTGTACTATGCTTGCGACTTTTCTGGACATTTGAAATTATTTCGGAGAAGTTTACTTTTTGAGGAAAAGGTAAATACAGGCCGAGCGCAGTGGCTCACGCCTGTAATCTCAGCACTTTGGGAGGCCAAGGCAGGTGGATCACCTAAGGTCAGGAGTTCGAGACCAGCCTGGCCAACATGGTGAAACCCTATCTCTACTAAAAATGTACAAATTAGCTGGGCATGGTGGTGCATGCCTGTAATCCCAACTACTCAGAGGCTGAGGGAGGAGAATCGCTTGAACCCAGGAGGCAGAGGTTGCAATGAGCCGAGATAGTGCCATTGCACTCCAGCCTGGGCAACAAGAGCGAAATTCCATCTAAAAAAAAAAAAGGTAAATATGAAGAACCTGAGATTCAAAACTCCTGACTGAAATCAAGGTTTGTTGGATGTTAGTGACCCCCGCCCTACTGCAGAATCATCCAGAAATTTCTAGATAGGAAAAAGGCTCTGGCTGAATCATGAAAGGGGAGCTGGATGCCTCTCTGACCAACATAACGGTTAACATTTACCGTGTGCCTCCTCTGCCAAGCCTCACTGTAAGCTTCTTACATGCATCAAACTGATTTCATGCTCACCACATCCCCTTGAGTCAATGCTGTTATTATTCCTCATTTTGTCAGATGAGGAAATAAAAGCTTAGGGTGTTCCAGTGTACACAGATGGGAAGTCATGGATCCTGGATTTGACTGCAGTCCTTTTGCCTAGAGTTTATTGCTTTAGCTAGTCTATACTATCCTAATGGTACCTTGATCAGGTTGAACCAGGGCATACCAGATCTGGGAGGTATAGTCAGGCTCCATTTTGGCAAGACTGGCCTGGTAGTCTGCATCCTTCAAAGGCTAGAATGCCTTCTTGTCTGGCTGTGGGTCTTCGGTCACTGGGTACGTGCTAATAGAGGCTGCACGATGTTTGGAAAAGATGTTGCCATTCTATGCCCTTTGCTGCCTCGGGCCCAGGGGCTCCTAGGGCAGCGATGCTGTGGAATCTGAGTGAGCCAGACACACTTGGCCTCAAATCCCGGGTGAGCTGTGTGATATTAGGCAGGGAATTTCACCCTGCTTGCTAAGCCTCGTTGATTAAATATGTAGTGAAAGCCTGGCTTGTGCTAAGGGCATAAGAAGGTGAATCTGACATGGCCCTTGCTGACTTCAAGGAGCTCACAGTCAGGACGGAGGTGGGGGCAACTGGGGCCCCTGGAGGGGTCCATAATGTGAGGAGAAGAGCTTCAGGAAAGCCTGTGTAGAATCTGTTTTACAGCTTCATGAAGATATAATTGGCATACAATAAACTGCACATATTTAAAGTATACAATTTGATGAATTTTGACACAACTTATAACCTGTGAAAGCATCTCCACAATCAAGATAAAGGGTGTATTCATCACTCTCAAGTTTCCTAGTACTCCTTGGTAATCCCCTCACTTCAACTAGGTAACCAGTGATCCAATTAGACTAGCTTGCATAATTTTCTAGAATTTTATATAATTCTATATACATTATGCGTATGTGTGTGTGTATTGCTTTGGCGAGCTCTTTTATTAGGAATGTTCATCTTTTGTCTGTT